>NC_000007.14:83415869-83718900 GCF_000001405.40 Homo sapiens | reverse complement strand
TTACGGCAAATGGATGAAAAAGAACACAGGGAGTCTTCTCACTTCATGACAAAAATATTAAAATAATAGCTATAATTTTTTTTATCAAACAATCACAGATGCAGTAAGAGAAATAGAGATGAATAGAAGACTATCTGCCACATAGACATAAGATAGAAATGCACATCTCTGAGCCCAGCAGATGCTGGTATTCACTAAAGAATGAATATCGGGAGTAGTAGCAGAGCCTGGGGTCCCAAATCCTATCCAAAAGACACTGAAACCTGACAGATTATCAGGATCCAGAATCAGGCCCTGCACAGGAAGCAAGAGAATCAGCTGTGCTCCTTGATTATGTAAAAGCTCGCCCTGCTTGTTCATGGTTGTATCTAGATAGTTATTTACAGTTGTATGTTCTCCTTGCTCGTGGTGAAATTAGGAGGAAGAAAGCAAACGAATACCTGCCTGCTGCATTTTGTTGGAAGACAGGAGCTACAATTTTCTCTTGAATCATAATTCTCCACCTTATAAAATAAGAACTGGGATGGAGGTATGCATTTCCCTGATTTTTGAACCTGTGCAATGCACAAGGAAGGGTCAAGCAAAAGAAAAGGACTACTCTCAAATAAGACTAGCTAAGGAAAAAGAAATCCAAAGCAAATGAGGAAATATAAATCCACTAAACACAGTTAAAAACCTCCCAAGTAGATCATTTAAAAAATGACTTCAAAATAAATGAGGTTAAAATCCTTAAAGCAAAAAAGGAGGGGGAAGAGTTATAAAACACGATCAGCTGATGTATGTGTCCTCTGTTTATCAATTGTTTTCAATGTATATTTATTTATATAGATGATAGATATAGCTAGGTAAATTTGATAAAGAATAATTAGAAATCATAGAAATATGAAAAATTCAGTGATTGTAATAAAAATAAACTTAGTAGAGGAAAAACTTCAATAGAAAATTAAGAAATTAGATGATAGAAGGGATGAAATTACTAAGGAAACAACAGCTAGAGAAGGAAAACGTGAAAGATAAATAAAAATGCAAGAAAATGAATTGAGAAGTACCAATATCCATCTTTCAGGGATGCTGGATTGATAAGGAAGATGAGTAAGAGACAATATTTAAAGAGATAAATTCTGCAAATTTTAAAAGTTGAGATAAGCCATAAATCTTCAAGTTTAAAAAGCACATAGATACATTATGGTGAGAAAGCTTTGCATTTCAAATGGAAGGAATATTTCAAAATCTACTAGAGGGAATATATTAACACTGCAATTCTCATGAGCAATAATAGGTTACAAATAATAGTGGTTAAAATATTCAAAGTACTATAGTTAGAAAAGGTAACTTAATCCCAGAATTGCATGAAACATGAATGTATCAGTGCCAAGAAGATGGCTGAATAGGAACAGCTCCAGTCTATGGCTCCCAGCATGAGCGACGCAGAAGACAGGTGATTTCTGCATTTCCAAGTGAGGTACCAGGTTAATCTCACTGGGGCTTGTCAGACAGTGGGTGCAGGACAGTGGGTGCAGCCCACTGAGCGTGAGCCGAAGCAGGGCAAGGCATCACCTCACCCAGGAAGCGCAAGGAGTCAGGGAATTCCCTTACCTAGCCAAGGGAAGCTGTGAACAGACGGCACCTGGAAAATCAGGTGACTCCCACCCTAATACTGTGCTTTTCCAATGGTCTTAGCAAATGGCACACCAGGAGATTATATCCCGGGCATGTCTCAGAGGGTTCCACACCCATGGAGCCTTGCTCATTGCTAGCACAGCAGTCTGAGAACGAACTGCAAGGCAGCAGCGAAGCTGGGGAAGGGGCGCCCGCCATTGCTGAGGCTTGAGTGGGTAAACAAAGTGGCTGCAAAACTGGAACTGGGTGGAGCCCACTGCAGCTCAAGGAGGCCTCCCTGCCTCTGTACACTCCACCTCTAGGGGCAGGGCATAGCTGAAAAAAAGGCAGCAGAAAATTCTACAGACTTAAATGTCCCTGTCTGACAACTTTGAAGAGAGTAGTTGTTCTCCCAACATGCAGCTGGAGATCTGAGAATGGACAGACTGCCTCCTCAAATGGGTCCCTGACCCCCGAGTAGCCTAACTGGGAGGCACCTCCCAGTAGGGGCTGACTGACACCTCACACGGCCATGTGCCCCTCTGAGATGAAGCTTCCAGAGGAACGATCAGGCAGCAACATTTGCTGTTCTGCAATATTTGCTGTTCTGCAGCCCCTGCTGGTGATACCCAGGCAAACATGGTCTGGAGTGGACCTCCAGCAAACTCCAACAGACCTGCAGCTGAGGGTCCTGTTTGTTAGAAGGAAAACTAACAAACAGAAAGGACATCCACACCAAAACCCCATCTGTATGTCACAATCATCAAAGACCAAAGGTAGATAAAACCACAAAGATAATGAGAAACCAAAGCAGAAAAGCTGAAAATTTTAAAAATTGAGCTCCTCTTCTCCTCCAAAGGAACACAGCTCCTCGCCAGCAGCAGAATACAGCTGGACGGAGAATGACTTTGATGAGTTGAGAGAAGAAGGCTTCAGATGATCAAACTTCTCTGAGCTAACGGAGGATGTTCGAACCCATTGCAAAGAAGATAAAACCCTTGAAAAAAGATTACATGAATGGCTAAGTAGAATAACCAGTGTAGAAAAGATCTTAAATGACCTGATGGGGCTGAAAACCATGGCTTGAAAACTACGTGACACATGCACAAGCTTCAGTAGCCGATTCCATCAACTGGAAGAAAGGGTATCAGTGATTGAAGATCAAATGAATGAAATGAAGTGAGAAGAGAAGTTTAGAGAAAAAAGAGTAAAAAGAAACAAAGCCTCCAAGAAATATGGGACTATGGGAAAAGACCAACTCAATGTCTGATTGGTGTACCTGAAAGCAACGGGGAGAATGGAAGCAAGTTGGAAAACACTCTGCAGGATATTATCTGGGAGAACTTCCCCAATCTAGCAAGGCAGGCCAGCATTCAAATTCAGGAAATACAGAGAATGCCACAAAGATACTCCTCGAGCAGAGCAACTCCAAGACACATAATTGTCAGATTCACCAAAGTTCGAATGAAGGAAAAAATGTTAAGGGCAGCCAGAGAGAAAGGTCGGGTTACCCACAAAGGGAAGCCCATCAGACTAACAGTGGATCTCTCGGCAGAAACTCTACAAGCCAGAAGAGAGTGGGGGCCAATATTCAACATTCTTAAAGAAAAGAATTTTCAACCCAGAATTTCATATCCAGCCAAACTAAGCTTCATAAGTGAAGGAGAAATAAAATCCTTTACAAACAAGCAAATGCTGAGAGATTTTGTCACCACCAGGCCTGCCTTACAAGAGCTCCTGAAGGAAGCACTAAACATGGAAAGGAACAACCAGTACCAGCCACTTCAAAAACATGCAAAATTGTAAAGATCATTGATGCTAGGAAGAAACTGCATCAACTAACGAGCAAAATAACCAGCTAACATCATAATGACAGGATCAAATTCACACATAAGAATATTAACCTTAAATGTAAATGGGCTAAATGCTCCAATTAAAAGACACAGACTGGCAAATTGGATAAAGAGTCAAGACCCATCAGTGTGCTGTATTCAGGAGACCCATCTCAATGCAGAGACACACATAGGCTCAAAATAAAGAGATGGAGGAAGATCTACCAAGCAAATGGAAAACAAAAAAAAGCAGAGGTTGCAATCCTAGTCTGTGATAAAACAGATGTTAAACCAACAAATATCAAAAGAGACAAAGAAGGCCATTACATAATGGTAAAGGGATCAATTCAACAAGAAGAGTGAACTATCCTAAATATATATGCACCCAATACAGGAGCACCCAGATTCATAAAGCAAGTCCTTAGAGACCTACAAAGAGACTTAGAAACAAAAATAATGGGAGACTTTAACACCCCACTGTCAACATTAGACATATCAACGAGACAGAAAGTTAACAAGGATATCCAGGAATTGAAGTCAGCTCTGCACCAAGCGGACCTAATAGACATACAGAACTCTCTACCCCAAATCAACAGAATATGCATTATTCTCATCACCACATCACACGAATTCCAAAATTGACCACATAGTTGGAAGTAAAGCAGTCCTCAGCAAATGTAAAAGAACAGAAATTATAACAAACTGTCTCTCAGACCACATTGCAATCAAACTAGAACTCAGGATTAAGAAACTCACTCAAAACCGGTCAACTACATGGAAACTGAACAACCTGCTCCTGAATGACTACTGGGTACATAACGAAATGAAGGCAGAAATAAAGACGTTCTTTGAAACCAAGGAGAACAAAGACACAACATAGCAGAATCTCTGGGACACATTTAAAGCAGTGTGTAGAGGGAAATTTATAGCACTAAATGCCCACAAGAGAAAGCAGGAATGATCTAAAATTGACACCCTAACATCACAATTAAAAGAACTAGAGAAGCAAGAGCAAACACATTGAAAAGCTAGCAGAAGGCAAGAAATAACAAAGATCAGAGCAGAACTGAAGGAGATAGAGATACAAAAAACCCTTCAAAAAATCAATGAATCTAGGAGCTGGTTTTCTGAAAAGATCAACAAAATTGATAGACCACTAGCAAGACTAATAAAGAAGAAAAGAGAGAAGAATCAAATAGATGCAATAAAAAATGATAAAGGGGATATCACCACCGATCCCACAGATACAAACTACCATCAGAGAATGTTCTAAACACCTCTACGCAAATAAACTAGAAAATCTAGAAGAAATGGATAAATTCCTGGACACATACACCCTCCCATGACTAAACCAGGAAGAAGTTGAATCCCTGAACAGACCAATAACAGGCTCTGAAATTGAGGCAATAATTAAGATCCTACCAACCAAAAAATTTCCAGGACCAGACAGATTCACAGCTGAATTCTACCAGAGGTACAAGGAGAAGCTGGTACCATTCTTTCTGAAACTATTCCAATCAATAGAAAAAGAGGGAATCCTCCCTAACTCATTTTATGAGGCCAGCATCATCCTGATTCCAAAGCCTGGCAGAGACACAACAAAAAAAGAGAATTTTAGACCAATATCCCTAATGAACATTGATGCAAAAATCCTCAAAAAAAAATACTGGCAAACAGAATCCAGCAGCACATCCAAAAGCTTATCCACCATGATCAAGTGGGCTGGTTCAACAGCCCACCAAGGCTGGTTCAACATATGCAAATCAATAAACGTAATCCATCATATAAACAGAACGAAAGACAAAAGCCATATGATTATCTCGATGCAGAAAAGGCCTTCAATAAAATTCAACAGCCCTTCATGCTAAAAACTCTCAATAAATTAGGTATTGATGGGACGTATCTCAAAATAATACGAGCTATCTATGACAAACCCACAGCCAATATCATACTGAATGGGCAAAAACTGGAAGCATTCCCTTTGAAAACTGGCACAAGACAGGGATGCCCTCTCTCACCACCCTTATTCAACATAGTGTTGGAAGTTCTGGCCAGGGCAATTAGGCAGGAGAAGGAAATAAAGGGTATTCAATTAGGAAAAGAGGAAGTCAAATTGTCCCTGTTTGCAGATGACATGATTGTATATTTAGAAAACCCCATCGTCTCAGTTCAAAATCTCCTAAGCTGATAAGCAACTTCAGCAAAGTCTCAGGATATAAAATCAATGTGCAAAAATCACAAGCATTCCTATACACCAATAACAGACAAACAGAGAGCCAAATCATGAGTGAACTCCCATTCACAATTGCTTCAAAGAGAATAAAATACCTAGGAATCCAACTTACAAGGGATGTGAAGGACCTCTTCAAGAAGAACTACAAACCACTGCTCAAGGAAATAAAAGAGGACACAAACAAATGAAAGAACATTCTATGCTCATGGATAGGAAGAATCAATATTGTGAAAATGGCCATACTGCCCAAGGTAATTTATAGATTCAATGCCATCCCCATCAAGCTGCCAATTACTTTCTTCAGAGAATTGGAAAAAACTACTTTAAGGTTCATATGGAACCAAAAAAGAGCCCGTATAGCCAAGATAATCCTAAGCCAAAAGAACAAAGCTGGCGGCATCATGCTACCTGACTTCAAACTATACTACAAGGCTACAGTAACCAAAACAGCATGGTACCAGTACCAAAACAGAGATATAGATCAATGGAACAGAACAGAGCCCTCAGAAATAATACCACACATCTACAACCATCTGATCTTTGACAAACCTGACAGAAACAAGCAATGGGGAAAGGATTCCCTATTTAATAAATGGTGCTGGGAAAACTGGCTAGCCATATGTAGAAAGCTGAAACTGGATCCCTTCCTTACATCTAACACAAAAATTAATTTAAGATGGATTAAAGACTTACATGTTAGACCTAAAACCATAAAAACCCTAGAAGAGAACCTAGACGATACCATTCAGGACATAGGCATGGGCAAGGACTTCATGTCTAAAACAGCAAAACCAATGGCAACAAAATCCAAAATTGACAAATGGGATCTAATTAAGCTAAAGAGCTTCTGCACAGCAAAAAGAAACTACCATCAGGGTGAACAGGCAACCTACAGAATGGGAGAAAATTTTTGCAATCTACACATCTGACAAAGGGCTAATATCCAGAATCTACAAAGAACTCAAATAAATTTACAAAAACAAATCAAACAACCCCATCAAAAAGTGGGCGAAGGATACGAACAGACACTTCTCAAAAGAAGACATTTATGCAGCTCATCATCACTGGCCATCAGAGAAAATGCAAATCAAAACCACAATGAGGTATGATCTCACACCAGTTAGAATGGCGATCATTAAAAAGTCAGGAAACAACAGGTGCTGGAGAGGATGTGGAGAAATAGGAACACTTTTACACTGTTGGTGGGACTGTAAACTAGTTCAACCATTGTGGAAGACAGTGTGGCGATTCCTCAAGGATCTAGAATTAGAAATACCATTTGACCCAGCAATCCTATTACTGGGTATATACCCAAAGGATTATAAGTCATGCTGCTATAAAGACACATGCACACGTATATTTATTGCGGCACTATTCACAATAGCAAAGACTTGGAACCAACCCAAATGACCATCAGTGATAGACTGGATTAAGAAAATGTGGCACATATACACCATGGAATGCTATGCAGCCATAAAAAAGGAGGAGTTCATGTCCTTCGTAGAGACATGGATGAAGCTGGAAACCATCATTCTGAGCAAACTATCTCAAGAATAGAAAAGCAAACACTGCATGTTCTCACTCATAGGAGGGAATTGAGCAATGAGAACAGTTGGACACAGGAAGGGGAACCTCACACACTGGGGCCTGTCATGGGGTAGGGGGAATGGGGAGGGATAGCATTAGAAGATGTACCTAATGTAAATGAGGAGTTAATGGGTGCAGCACACCATCATGGCACATGTATACATATGTAACAAACCTAGACGTTGTGCATATGTACCATAGAACTTAAAGTATAATAATAAAATAATGGAAAAAAATGAATGTATCTTTTGAGAGAGAGGCAGACTGACATTTATTTTCAGCCACATAAAGACAAAAATATTTACTATTTGTAAATCATTTCTCAAAGAACTGCTAAACACTAATATTTTGTGTTTAATAATGAGATGAAAATTTTTGGAAAAATGTTATGGTTGATAGTTTTGGTTAGTTGTTATTTTTCTGTGTTCATAGACATGTATTATTTTTAATAGTAGAAGATGTGAAAAATATTGGTCATATCCTGAAACAATTTAAAAATGTTAGAATAATATTATACAGGAGGTTCTGCTTTTCAATTGCACATGTAAGCAGCATAGAAGTCACCAGTCTGTTCTAGTGACTAGAAAAAGCTGAACAAACAGAAAAATCAGCAACTCCTCCTGAATCAGTAAGGGAAATGAGGTCACAGGGCAAACTGCTGCCTTCAAAACTGGAGAGACAAAACAAGCAGATACGGAGGCAGTTAAAATTGCCTTAGCGAAAGTGTGACAGTAAGAGCCATTATGACATAACTGACTCCGTCTTGCTTCTAACTTCATAGGCTGGCTATCTTTGCTCATTCCTGGGCATGGGCCAAGCTAACATTGGGAGGAATTTAGTTTATAATTTAAATCATAATAGCTCTTCTCAAAGACTATATTGTTCTTGTAAAACTAATGAAAGGCCACCAATTAAGAGGATGAGAGGGGCTCGAATTCTAACTAATTACTAGCATTTATTCTGGATGTCATAAGATTTGCAACTTTCCCAATTACCCTTTAAGAACTTAAGATTGGCCTTTTGGGTGTCTTTCCAGAACTCAACTAGTCCTATGGCCCCCACCTAGAAGCTAACTCAGCACATGAGGACAATTTTCCACACCCCTTTGATTGCATCCCCAACAAATCAGCATGCCCCCTTCCCTAGCCCCTGCTCACAAAACTATCTTTGAAAAACCCCTAACCTCCAAGCCTTCAGAGAGATTGATTTGAGTAATAACTCTGTCTTCCATGTGGCCTAGCTGGCCTTGCATCAGTTAAACTGTCTTTACTGCAATGCTGTGGTCTCTGTGAGTTGATTTTGTGCAGCAGGCAGGAAGAATTTGTAGGGTGGTTACACAGTTTAGCCTACCAGAGCAGAAACCTATGTGGGAACCAGTGCCTGGGTAGAAAACCTGAACTGTAATGGAGTAATTGTTGGAGGCTAAGTGTAGAGGAGTCAGAGACTTAATAACTTCAGTTATCAGGAGTCCCCACACTTTTGTGAGTTTTACTTCTAGGAATATGACCAAATTCTCACAATAAATATTTAGGAAAAATTATTTCCTGTTTCTGGCAGCAGAGGGAGGAAGAAACCATTTTGAAATACACTCACTTAATATCATAGACAGGTCCTTGGGAACCGCAGCTTTAATGAAATAACTGAAGAGCAGGTCCTAGAATAATGTCGGTTTGTTGAAAGTCTTTTCATTATAAGGTTGATGATGAGAAAACAACAAAAAAAATTGGTTTCCTTATATGTTGTCTCCTTTAAAGTTACTGTTTCCAAGAACCTTTTGACAAAGTTAAGTGAACCCTTACTATACACTAAAACATTCTGTTCTTCTTAAGAAGATCTGCCCTCAGGTAAAACTACTTAACCAGAGCCTAACCTGCTGGGGTTTTATCAGAGCCTAATTGATTTGGAAAAAGAGAAATACCCAATTCCAGCCAGCTCTGGTCATCCTGTCACACCAAAAGGTGGTGTAGGAGTGAAGAAATCTTCCCCCTTCACTGCACCTTTCAGCAAAGGAATAGAAGACAATTGTGTTTCTCTTTGGAGATCTTTTGAGGATCTAGGTAAATGAAGAAACTTCAGAGAACAGGCTCCTCCTGTGCTTTGGGAGAGAGAGAGAATTGAAAGACAGAGATTGTGGGGAAAGTCACAGAGAAAACTTGGTTGGATGGCTTATTTCTAAGGACTTTCCATTTTTGAAGCAGTTAACACTCTAAGTATTACAGTCTCACCAGTGCACCACAATGTAGCAGTCTCTACTTGTAAGGTATCACCTGGAGTTTTTGTCTCATGACCAAGAGAATTAAGGAGCATAGACAAAAAGGGTGAGGTTAGAAGGTGAAAGGGTGAAAGTTTAATAAGCAAAAGAAGAAAGCTCTCTGCTGTGGAGAGTGGGCCTAGAAGAAGGTTGCTGTTTTTACAGTTGAATGCAAGGGCTTTTATAATAAACCAGTGAGGACTGGGCAGCTCATTTGCATAAGGTGCTAATTTCTGGCAGCTCTGCCCTGTCCTCCTAGTGCACATGCAGGCCCTTAGCTTGAATTACTCCATATTGCTTTGTTCCACTTACTGCACATGTGTTAGGGGATAAAATTGTCCATTAAGGGCATGTTTGAACAAGTCACCTGTGTAGCCTTTCTTATCTATGAGACTGTGGGCATGTCTTGGGCAAGCCCCCCAATATGGAAGTTCCCTTATCTGTACCTGAAGCTTGAGTTTTCAGGCTGTTCTTCTGTTTGAAATAATTGGACCGAGGACCCACCCTAACTGCCTGCTTGACCCATTTCTTCCTTCTCCTCTCTCACAAGGCCCCGTATTCTGAGATATTGTTTTCTAAGTACCAATAGTGGGGATGCAGGTACTAAAAAAAATGTAAAATTCACAGTCTAGAGGAACAGAGACTCACTAAATGACTAAGACCTAATCATAGGACTATAGAACTCTTCCCTTCACCACACACTTTATCTCCACATTACTATAGGCCTATGTATAGCAGTTTCTTTCACCTAGTACAACGTATTTGGCTATCAAGGAAAAATTACAAGGCATACTAAAAGGCAAATAACACAGTCTGAAGAGGAACAAGCATCAGAATTGAACATGGCAGGGATATTGGAATTATCAGACAGAAAATTTAAAAAACTATGATAATATGCTAAGGTCTCTAATGGATAAAGTAGATAGCATATACGAACAAATGGGCAATGTAAATAGAAAGATGGAAACCCTAAGATGCTAGAGATCAAAAACACTGTAACAGAAACAAAAATGCCTTTGATGGGCTTATTAGTAGACTGAATAGAGCTGAGGAAAGAATCTCTGAGTTTTAATATATATCTCAATAGACACCTCCAAAACTGAAAAGCAAAGAGAACAACAACAACAAAAAACAGAGCAGAATATTCAAGAACTATGGAACAACTACAAAATAATAATATTACATTACATGAAACAATTACCACAATATGTTCAGTGGAAAATTTTAGGATCTCCAAAAATAACAAAATCAAACAACCAATAATAAAAAACACATACACAAAACACAAAACCTCAAAAAACAGATGCTTGGGAAATATATGTAACCCTGAAGACCCACAATTAATGCTTATTTTTATTGTCTGTAGTCCTTTAACTGCATAATTATTGTGCTTAGAATAAAAGTTAAGCAGTTCTAATTTGATACTTGTATACTTAATTCTTACCTATAAATTTCATATCCCAGGATTCTATATAACACTAATATGGGTAAGTAGCATAAAGTTAAAATAAAATCACACCAACTGTCACTTGCAGAAGCATAGAATCTTTACATGCTTTTTAAAAGTACAATGATATTGATATTATTTGGAAAAACCACTGATGAAAATAAAATATGAATATGCTTTTAACCATGAAATTAATTACTCTCATCTTTCTTAAATATTTAAGAGGCAACTCCTGCTGTTTGTCCTTTAAAGTGATCTTGCAGTTTATTGAATAAAAAAAGTAGATTAAACTTGTTCCAGTTCCTTATTTAATAGTACTAACAGACAGAACTAATCACCACAGATGAAACAATAAGTAGCAGGACTGCATGAACCTTGGAAAACTTTTATACATTGTATTATGAGCAATAAGTCACTCCCAGTTGCAGTCATAAGAGTATATTTACTATAACTGTTCTCAGAATCAGATGTGTTAAAGAAGTATATACAAGTCTTCTCCTGAATAATGTAAAATTTTAGGTTGATATAGAATTTTTTCTAATGAACTAATACAGATATACATATACATGTAATATAATCTTACATAAATGGAATTATAAGATTACTCTCTTTTTTGGTAGTCTTTTAATTTTTTATTTTGCTTGAATCTATCCTTTCCCTTCTGCATCCCTCTCAAATAAACTCCCTCCCATGACCTATCGTAACACCCCACATGAACATCTTGTTCCTATATTTTTTAATGTCATTGCTGTTATTTATATGGAGTAGCTATCTAAAAGTAAAACAATGCCTAGGATTTCTGGGTTAAAAGTTTAATTAAATAGATGATAGGTTATTGATAAGCAGATAGATAATTGATAGATTACATTTTTAATACACTATTTTAAAAAAGATTATTTTTTAAAAAATATTATAATTTATGCAGCTTTTTCCCTACATCTTCATTTGTGACCAGCATCCTAATTCATTTAAATATTTGCCAATCTGATAGGTATAAAGAGATGTCTCATTACTTAAATTTGCATTTTCCTTGTTAACAATGAGGGTTTTTTCATGTTTATTAGCCTTCTGTATTTCCACTGGCTTTTCTTTTTATTTCCTATTCACATCCTTTGCTCATTCTTTTATTATTTGAGTTGTCTGAGACTTAGTATTATACAGATGATATGCATGTGGAATTGCAGGAGTATCCATAATACATGGTTAATTAAAATTAATCAGGTACAGGATAAAATGTATAGTATGATGTATTAATTTTAAAAATCAGATAAACATAAATGTCTCTCTTAATGTGCATTGATGCTTGTATACATTGAGTGAGGAAACAGGGCTGAAGACTATCACAACAGGCTTTTCACATTGGTTACATGTGGGTGTGAAAGTGGAAGAGGATATGGGAGATATACTCATTCTGCATACATACATTTTTATATGGTGTCACTTCAGTTAGATCACAAAATGCATTACTATGTCTGTAATTTAAACTATTATAAAAGTTAAAAAATAAAGGTAATAAAAGAACTGTGTTTAGGTAATAAATATTATTGCCCAGAAGATAAATAATGTGCACTCCATTCCTCTCATACAAATAATCACTGTAATCATGCTAAACACAAATTTAAAAATAGAGAGAAAGAGAAAATAACCTTCATCAGTTCTCTTAGAGATTTATGTTAGCTCCTTTGTAACATTCTAAATTGTATATTTTTAATGTCAAAACAATTGTTGATGTATTTGTACTTTGACTAATGGATTTTAACAGCTGTGGTATTAAGGTGAAAAAGTCAATCAAATCAAATTTGGCAAAAACTCAAAACAAAACTGCTCAAAACAGCCTAATTTGTAGACTGCCTACAATAGCAGCCTGGAAAGTAGGTTTTTTTTGAGACGGAGTCTCGCTCTGTTGCCAGGCTGGAGTGCAGTGGCCCGACCTCGGCTCACTGCAACCTCTGCCTCCCGGGTTCAAGCAATTCTCCTGCCTCAGCCTCCCGAGTAGCTGAGATTGCAGGTGCGCGCCACCATGTCCAGCTAATTTTTGTATTTTTAGTAGAGACAGGGTTTCACCATGTTGGCCAGGATGGTCTGGATCTCCTGATCTTGTGATCGGCCTGCCTTGGCCTCCTGAAGTGCTGGGATGACAGGTGTGAGCCACCGCTCCCAACAGAAAAGTAGCTTTAAAGATAGATAGAAAAATATTTTTATTAATTCATGAGAAGGTTTGACTATTGCCTATTAAATGAATATATTCTATGGGATTCAAAGTTTATTTGTATGCTACTTATTTGGGATTAAGGCTGTTTTAGAGTAAATACAATTTTAAAGAAGAAACCTTTTAAAAGAAAAATATATATAAAGTGATAACATACACCAGAAACTTAAATATTAGAGAATCTAGAAAGCCAGTTAGGTTAAGAAAAGACTGAAGAACTGCCTGCTGGTCATGAAGAACTATACTTGATAATCTTATCTTAATGATGAAACATTTTTCAAAGTTTCTTAAACTATAAAATTAATCCAGCAAAGCAGTTAGATAGAAATAATTTTATATTGTTAGATACTACAGTATATCTCAGGTAGACATAGTCTCACATTGTTGTATTAAGTAATGAAAAAATAATATAAGTTTCTAGGCAGCATTTTCTCAACTGAAGAATGCAGTAATTATTCTGCCCAAAATATAATTAGCTTTCTAATTACAATTTAAATAGCCTTCTTATTTGCTTGAGTTCCTATATAAAAAGGAGATTTTCAACTATGAATCACTGAACATAAGAAAATCAGGCTTCAAATTATAAACTCAATTGTAACAACTTCTTGGTATTATTAATAGGGAACTTGATTCAACATAAATTTATTAAAAAACATCTTCAGTGGGCAAAGAACTAGAGAGAGTGTATGAAATTTAAACAGAGTATGGTGATATAACTTCCTACTTTATGGTCTAATTTAAGAGAAGTCAGGATATGTCTTCTGCCAAGGCACTCTGCTTGGGGCCTGATTTTTGACATCTTTGAAGCCCTGCAGTTGTTATAATAAAAGTATTATCTGGCATATCCTTAACCTAGCAGTTCAAATTTCTGGAAAACATTAATTATCCAACCACCCAGCAGTAAACTGGAGGTAATGAAACTCAAGATGGGTTGATTTTACAATATGAGGAACCACAAAGAATGTGGAGAGACATGTTGACCTGAAGGATTAGCCATGTGTGAGGCAATGCGGCATGCATTCCAGGTGAAAAGGCAATGATTTCCAGTGACCTGACGATTGACCAGGGTGGTATTGCTTAAAATTCTCCTCTCTGGGTTTGGAGAAAAGTCAGGCTTCAAATTATAAAATCGGACTAGGCTACTAACTCTTTTAATCCTCACCTCATAAGCACAATCATTCAATGTCAGTGTTCCTTAGGATTTTACCCACCGTCTTCTTCTGTTGCTTCTCTCAAGTAATTTCTGGGCAATGTCTATAGTGTTTTGTCCTGATAGATGACCAAAAGCACCTGTGTGTCTATTTTTAAAAAGGATATTAAAAACATGCAAAATGTAAGTAGATATACCTTAACTTTTTAAAAGTCCAAGTCTTCAAACCATGCATGTAAACATATTTTAAGAATATTTCATAAATTATATGCATATAATTTTAAAATGCATGTTATAATCTTATAATTTATATTTTATAATTTATGTAGTCATATATAAATACATTTTATATATAATTTTATAATAAGCATACAATTTATACATAAATCTTTATAAATAAATATATATGTTATTGGCTATATTTTCAAGAAAACAACTTTTTTCTTTCTTCCAGTATTGTAAGGGATATGTCATTCTGTTCTCATTGAGCCAAAAGCAGAAAATTAGATTATAAGTACTTTATAAAAGAAAGATGGAAGATAATAATGCAAAGGGAATCAATGTCAATACATATAAATGGAAGATGAATATATAAAAAACACTTTTAGGTATGAGTCATTAGATGGTACTGAAATTCCAGTGATCTTCTGGTACACACATTAAAGAGAATATCAGATAGCCATTACAAAGAATGACGTAGAAATGATAAAGAATAATTCTCAAGATAAGTTGTTAATATAAAAATAAAAACATTTGCCACAAATACTTTGTTGATTTTTTTAAAATTTGGCACCATCTCCTTAAAAATGTAACCAGATTGCTATCTTATTTGCAATATATTTTTTAAATTTCCAACTATGGCAAGTTTTATATCTTTGTATTTAAAAATAAATATTTGTGTGTTTGCGCAAAAATAAAAAAGCATGGTTCAGTATAGTCTGCTATGCTAGTATGCTAGCACTGATGACAACTTTTAAAAGACTATCAATATATACTGAGAACCTTATGCAATGAAATGTTTTTAGAAAGCAAGAAATTGGCACAGAATTTTTCTAGGGAGGAGGATTGAGGGGCTAGTGGTCAGGAATGGAAGGAGATTTATTTGATTACTAAACTGATATTAGTATTTTTCTTTCTTTTTTTTAAAAAAAAAACACATACCAAAATTATTTCTTCAAAAACAATTTCAGAAAATTTTAAATGATACTATTATGTTTATATTTGTTCATTTATCTATATTTACAAGTTTTTTAAAAGATAATGTCAAAAGTTAAAAAGTCATGTTACAATAATATTTAAATAATACCATGGTTATTATAGCACTGGAGCGCTTGTCAGTTCATAAATATTCTCATTGGGCAGTCACTCTGTGGTAGAGTGAGAGTTTGTAAAATAAAGAGAAGATTCTAATTTTTCCACATCTTTACCAATCATTATTATTATCTGTGTTTTTAGTTACAGCCTTTCTCATGGATGTAAAATGCATCTCATAGTGGTTTTTATATGCATTTCCCTAATTAATATTGATGTCGAACATTTTTCATGTGCTTATTGGCAATTTATACATCTTTGGACAAATATTTATTCACATCCTTTCAAAAAATGGTGCAGCCTTTTAGAAAACAATCTGGCATTTCTTCAAAAAGTTAAACAATGAGTTGCCTTATGATCTAGCATTTCCACTCCTAGGCTTCCAGATATGAAAAAATGTTCATTGTAGCATTATTCCTAATAGCCTAAAAGCAGAAGCAACCCAAATGTCCATCAACTGATGAATGGATAAATAAAATATGATATAGCCATGCAACTGAAAGTATTTGGCTATAAAAAGGAATGAATTACTGATACATGCAATTGATATGGATGAACCCTGGAAACATGCCACATGAAAGAAGCCGGTCACAAAAGCCTATGCATTGTAGGATTCCACTAATATGAAAGGTTCAGAGTACACAAATCCATAGAGACTGAAAGTGATAGTCTAGGACTGGTAGACTGGAGGGAAATGGGGAGTGACTGCTGAAGGGTACAAGGTCTCTTTTAGGGGTGATGAAATTGTTCTAAAACTAGGATGATGGTTGGGCAACTCTGAATATACTAAATGTCATTGAATTGTACACTGTAAGTGGATGGATGGTATGTGAATTACATTTCAATAAAGCTGTTGTTTAAAAAAGAGAAGATAGAGTTAATTGTCTTTAAAAATTACAGACACTATATATTTCGAAAGCATTTATGTTTCTTTTGTTATGAAAGACTGCCATAGATACTTGGCAAACAAGCAAAGAACCAGGGTCAGGTATGAATCTTAATCTTCCTTCATACATGGATTGATCTTTTTATTCTACAAACATTTCTTAGGTCCTTACCATAGAACAATGATACAAAGCAAAACTAGACACACAAAGCTGGAAGATGAAGTTCCTGTACAGTGAGAGAGAAAGAGAGAGAAACAGAAAATGAGTGCTTAGTTAGTGGCACTAAATTCTATAAATTTATCTCCAGATGTGGATAGTGGTGGGGGTAGAAGGATTAAACCAGAAAAGATGACACCCAAATTAGCCCTTGATGGTTTTATAGGAAGCTAGCCAAGCAGAAGGTTACAGCATACTTCTGAGAATTGCCTTTCCTTCCCCACACCCTTCTCCAGGGACTTATCCTTGACAGGCATATTGTTATTATTAGATTCTCTCTGCTGGCCACAATTGACTAGACTATAAATAAAACCCTGACCCAAACTACTCCAGATGTTCTCTTCTAGGAGTTAGAAATTTGGACTTAATCTAGGTGGGTGTAACTTGAACTAGGGGATGTAAATTCAAGAATTATGGGTCTGCCATCCTTTGCAGAGACCTCAAAAGCCAGGCTTGGAAAGAACGGTGAAAGAAACTGGTACCCAGAGAGATGAAGAGGCAAGAGATGAAAAGCAAGTACTTAATACTGGGTCACTTATGGCTTTCTCATTTTGGCTTCTAGGTCTAGTGGCTCCTAAATTTTGTAAGATATTCCAGTATCCTTCTAATAAAATTATTCTTTTGCTTAAGTGGAAAAAGCATAACATAAAAAGAAGGGATAGAAAGAGTGAAAGGGAGGCAGGAATATAGTCCAGTCAGAGGAGGTGGGGCATGGAAAAGAGCACAGAAGTGTGAGACTTGGTCACTGCTCTATTTATTTGAATACAATGTTGTGCTTTTTAATATTATATTAATTTGCTACAGTATTGAAGTCCTACATGTAATCACTCATTATCAAACAATATAATTTTGTTAGAGAAAATCTGATAAAATCCCTTGTTTCCTAATAAATTATTTACCATACTGCAAACTTCCAAACATCAATGAGTGTAAGAAATCAATGGGTACTTAGTTGCACTGGTAATTCTTTTTTTTTTTTCTTTTCAAGATGGAGTCTTGCTCTGTCTCCCAGGCTGGAGTGCAGTGGCACAATCTTGGCTCACTGCAACCTCTGCCTCCTGGGTTCAAGCAATTCTCCTCCCTCAGCCTCCTGAGTAGCTGGGATTACAGGCATGTGCACCCACTCCAAGCTAATTTTTGTATTTTTAGTAGAGACAAGGGTTTCACCAAGTTGGCCAGGCTGGTCTCGAACTCCTGACTTCATGATCCACCTGCCTTGGCTTTCCAAAGTGCTGGGATTACAGGCCTGAGGCATCGCACCCGGCCAGTAATTCTTAATTCTAATTCTTCTCTGAAAGTCCAAGTTATTTTATGGAATAATAGTGGATACCGTCCAGTTTTTTCTGGAATATTTATAGCACAGTCTATATACTTGTAATTAGAAAGAAGATAATCAATAGAATAATTTAATCCTCTGGGTTAAAAATGTAAGTGAAAAACTTTAAAGTTTTTATTTTTTTAGGGATAGGGCCTCAGCCTATCACCCAGGCTGGAGTGCAGTGGAGCCATCATAATTCACTGTAACCTTGAACTCCTGAGCTCAAGTGATCCTCCTGCCTCAGCCTCCCAGGTAGCTAGGACTACAGGTGTGTGCCAACACACCTGGCTATTTATTTTCTTTTTTTATAGACATGAGGTCTTGGTATGTTGCCTAGGCTGGTCTCTAACTCTTGGCCCCAAATGATCCTCCTGCCTTGGTCTCCCAAATTGCTGGGATTACAGCATGAGCCTTTGCACCTAGCCTAAAAAAACATTTAAATTTGAGATTTGGGATTTTTTTTCCCAATGTCTAGAGCAAAAAGTAAAATTACTTCATATTCAACTCATATATATGTAAGAAATGTAAAAGGATGCACAAGTGAGAACTGATAAACAGTCTGATTAAAATACTGAATAGAACAAATATTTTTTTTTTACATGGGAATATAGAGAGGTCATATTTTCAGACCCTCAATTAGGTAATTTGAATGAAAAAAATATAAATATCACTAATAACTTTCTTACAATTTGTTATTTTCTGAAGACTTTTAGCCAAGAATGAAAATCTTCCAGTTTGTTTTGTTCATCTGACACTTTGTCTAACACCTCTTTGCTTGGATTCATCCGTATGTATTTCATTATCCAACAAACTCTTCCTATTACTGTTTAAAATTTAGTAAAAGACATGATTGTGTCTGTATTACAGTGGGATGTAGATCCTCAAAACATTTGCTATAAAGTAGCCTTAAGTCAGCATATACTATGTCATAGCTAGTGTCATTTCCACAGCTAGCAAACTGCAGCAAAAAAAGAAGAAGAAGAAGATGGCATTTAAATTCTTAAGCCAAGTCATCTATGCTTTACATATGTAATTCACACATGATTTTGAGTAACGTGTTAGAAGAGGGATTCAATGTGTCAACCAAGTTATGTTTCCAAATAGGAACACTTCATACATTTGAGCTAGGCTGGTGGATTCTGATAGTTTGTTCTTAATTTTCTTGCTTCAAATAGCTGATTTTTTTTAATCATTATAGCTCTAATTTATAAAAATGCTAATGTCAGTTTATTCTTCTATAAGTAGCAGTATTTAAAAACTACTTATTCAGTATATCAGTTTGATTCTTTGTATCTGACATGTATAAATGTTCTTGGGAGGATGGTCATGGAGCTCTTTACATAAAAATATATTAAGCTCAATGTCATTTACATAAACATTGTAAATTTTAATTATCAACGGAAAACACAATAAAAAGTAAAGTCACGTGCCACATAAACCAATTTCCTTTAATTCTTTCCCTACTATATACCCTGTATCTTCTCTTTCCTCACATACTCTGTCTCTTTAGCTGGGTTCTATGTCTTCTTCATCATTTGGTCTCTAGAATTTGGCACAGTGCCTAGATAGGCACTCATGAGTGTTTATTCACTTCATTCCATTAACAACAACTTATTAATTCCCATCTATTGTCAGATCCTGCTTAAGGTAATGGATTATAGCAGTGTACCAAAAAAATCACAGACTCCTACCTCCATGAGGCTCACATTCTAGAATGGTGAAAACTATAACAGAAAATTAAAAATAGATGATATAGTACTCTAGATGTTAGTAAATGCTATGGGGAAAATATAGATCTCTGAAAGAGAATAGTAAATGGTAGAGTAGAGAGAGTTACAAATTTTAAAAGGGGTAGTTATGTTAGTTCTCCCTGAGATTATATTGGGTAAAGACCTGAAGAAGAGAGATGGCCAGCCATGTGGATATATGGGGGACAAGCATTCCAGGCAGAGGGCATAAGCAAAGACCCTGAAGCAGAAGGTTGCCTAATGTTCAACAAAAGCAAGGACACCAGCGTGGTTGCAATGCAGTGAGCAAAGTGGGAAACAATAGGAAATGAAGTTAGGAAGTTAACAGGGAGCCAGATCCCGTGTGTAACATCTAGGCCATTCTAAGCTTTTAAAATAACTAAGTTGAGAAAACATTGAAGGATTAAAGAAAAGGCATGATATAATCTGATTTGTGTATTTTACACAATCACTCTGGTTTCTGCATTGAGACTCAAAGGAAAAAGCACTGAAGGAGAGAGACCGGGACTATGTAGAGGGAACAGAGACAACCTGCACCACAAGAAACCAAAGAAACAAATATAAAATAGATTTGAGGGATAGAGGAGAGCTGCCTGCAAAAACCTGGCAGAGCGCAAACCATCTACTGAGCTCTCAGTATATCAGAGAGGAAGGGGTCACACAGAGCAATGCTTGTTTGGCCTCCCACAAATATGTGGTTGTTAAAGGGAGTAATCACTTTCTTAGATAATAGTGGATAGTCTTCTTTGTCACTCCTGTAGTATAGCCTTTTAAAGGCTAGTTGCAATGAAAAATCTGAAGTCACATCAATAAACATTTTGTATTCTGTTACACTGAAGTCTGTTACACTTGTTCATTCATTGGATTTTTTACTCATGAGTGACTTTATAACATCATGTTTCAGTCATTTGGAAAATATTTGCTCACTGAGTTCTGCAAATATACAATATTTTTAAAAAATCACTTTCATTTATATCACCCTTAATTTCTTCAGGGAAAAAAAAAAGTCTTTAACTATTAGGGAGCCCTCTGTGGCAGACAAAAGTTGTCCACAATTCTGATTTTCATTTGAAAGCAAGACATTTATCACTGGCAATAAATCATGTCAGTTGCTTTTCTTGAAATGAAAGACTCGCTTTCTTCATTTGTGAGAAAATATCTGCCAAATACCCAGTTACGAATAACAATAATTTGTCGGTTGTTCTTTCAAATAAAAATAGTGTTCCATAAAATGGCACACGTGCTTTTTCTAGAGACAATTCTTGAATTTTAGTATGCAGCAGAAATACTTTGTGTCTCAAAGAATATTAAAAAGACATATATCCAAGGGTTGAGATTTAATATTAATAGTTTTACTGCTTCTAATAGGACTTTCTTAAGTGAAACTGACTTATAAAATTTAAGTGAATGTGCTTTTTGGAGATTTCAACTACAGTTTGGTCCCAGTGCCTTAACTGTGTTAAGACACAAACAATTTTACCCTCTAGTGCTTTTATGCCTTTGAAGCTAATGTCAACATAGTAAAGCAAGCAAACAACATGTAAATATTGGCATGAAAATAGTTGTGATCTCAAGATCCCCTGCAAAGGTCATGGGAACTCTCAAGGCACTGTGGATTCAATTTTGAGAATCACAGGTCCAAGAGACTGGGAGAGGTAATGGACAGAGGAAATATAACATGATCATTCAGGTCCTTGATCATGAACATAAAATGAAAACTGACAGGATGGTTGTGTGTTTTTCTCTAGATTTGTTCAACCATATGGATATTGTCTGGGATTAGACAAAGGATTGAACTAAACCAATTAAACGACGATTATATTTGATTCAGCAAATCTACAGAAAAGAGAAGGTCAAGATAGTTGAGTGTACATGCCAAAGAGTGGTAAGGATTGACTCTAAAATTTAAGCTGGATAAGGAGGAAGTAAAGACTTGATGGAGTAAGATACAATAAAAGGATGGTAGAATTAATGAATTGTATGTCAAAGGATTGCTTTATTTGGTTCCATCTAATTCAGAGCTAGAAAATTGAGAGGAAAGAGTTGGCAAATTAAATATTTGAAAATGAGATTAAAGAGGTTTGCAATCACAGAGAAGATCTAAGTTATAATCAAAGGAATGAGCAGCTTTGTTAGGGTCAAGAGTACAGTTGTTGGAGGACAGGAGATCAGGAACTGAAACACCATCTACCCACCAATATTTCAGAGCAAATAAGAGCATGGACTTTGGAGCCTTAATGCCTTGACTCACATCCAGTAGCCTTCTTAGCTGAATGACTGTGGACAATTTATTTAATTGTTCTGTGCCTCAATTCTCCATCTATAAAATGGGAATTATAGTATCAAATGATGATTATAATATCTAATTAATGGGCTTGTTATGGGAGTTAAATGAGTTAATATATATAGGGTACTTAAAACAGTGCCTGGCAGAAATTGATACACATTGTACCCGTGGTAATTGTCACTAAAGCTATTGAAATCACACAGAATTTGGGTAGGAGTAATAATGTTGGGGAGAGCTTCAATAAAACATGAGCTAAAATCTTCATAAATGAAGGGCCTATTACGTAGGTGCTGCAAAAAGGAGGGGAAATAGATCCTCCAAAGTGATGACATGAGATTCAAAGCTGGTCATGGTAGGAAGAAGGTAGGTAACTTGGTCTGGAAGTGACAATGAAGACCAGTATGAATCAGTAAGAGCTCAGCAACATGAGAAGTACTTGTGAGCACTAAGCACTTACGTATCAGTGACTAACAATCAAAAAGTGCCATTGGTACGTTGAGGAAGATTTGGAGGATTAAGCCTGGTCCTCTTGTCCTCAAGGGACACCATCAAGGGAGGGCCAGGTTTAATCCTCCAAATCTCCCTCACTGTACTAATAGCACTTTTTAATTGTTAGTCACTGATACATAAAACTTTAAAGCCAAACTTGACTCCTTCCTCTGTTTTCCACCAGATGTATGCATGCCACCATGTTCTCTTGAGTTTATCTTTGCACAATCTTTCATTTCTTTAAACTCTCTCCCATTGTTTTAATTCTCACTGCCACCAGCCAGGCTTGAGTCTTCACTACTCCATACCTGGCTGTGTGTTATCATCATAGCTGTTGGCTTTAACTCCAGTCATGTCTACCCCATGCATTTTGTCCTAATGCACGTCTCTATCTGATTCACTTTTTTCTCATACTTGAAAGGATAATAAAAATTAATGCCTTGTTATCATTTGTAGAAGAAAGCTAACTTATTTGGCTGGGTATTCAAATTCTTTCTTCTAGCCTTTAGCCTTAATACCCTCCAAGCTTTTATTCCCATTCTACATTATAGAGCATTCTCAGCTCTAAACATCTCTTTCCTCACCTTCCCACTTAAAAAAAAGTGTGATCTTTGTTCTCTCCCTTTTCACCCTCCCATTGCCTTCTGAGGGTTTTATCTTTGCCAGCTGTGTTTTTAATCTTTTGGGATTCAAATTTTGAATAATTAAAACAGAAAAGAAGTGGGGGATCTTAACAGGGGTGAGCCAGGGGTTTGCTTTTGTAGGGTGAGCAAGTTTTTGTAAGAAAGCATTCAAAGACTCAGCATGAGAGAAAATCCACTGCTTTGAATCCAACAGGACACTCCTTTCTTTGGAGGATTGTTTCTCTGCCTTACTAAAGCCATATGACAATTGCTTAGGAAAGAAATTAATATGTTTAGATGATAATCATGTAATTAACATCTCTATAGTAAGACTGAAAGGAGTAGTAAAGCAGTATTCCCCACCCCCTAGCCCACACCCCCATACCCTGCCATGGAGGGAGAGCTGCATGGCTTGGTTAATAAGAATAGGTGAACCAGATTTGCTCATGAGTGACTTCGTGTCAGCCTTGGTCCTCCATAAAACTCCCGTAAACTTTCTGAACTGTTGAAGCTAAAAAGGGTTAAGGAAGAGAGAATGACTATCATGATGCTGCTCCATAATCAAGTGCTGAATGCTGGAGCTAAGGCCTGCCACACTGGTAGTTTTGGTAGTTGAAAGTAATAACATATGCTTATCCTTTTCAATTATAGTCCAGCCATCAAGGTGCTGGTGGCTGGAATTACATTTTTCCATTGGTGGTCAGGGGACTCTTGCTGCCTCCCACTACCACCACATCAAACAAGGTCAGAGCGTAGTAGGAGGCTGTGCCCATTCATCAGGTTCCAGTGTGGCAGACAGGTCAGCAAGTGGGTACCTCTTAGGAATTACGCAGTCACCTGATGGCGTTTTAGAAACAATAGTTAGTGTGGGCCAAACCCAACATTTATTGCTAGACAGCTGAAAGATTTGAGTGAGATTAGCATTTCTTTATTTGTGACATTGGGGAATATCTAATGGCAGTCTGCCTTCATGAGGGGAAGAACTCAGATTATACACTATATTTCTCATCCTGCTAGGAACACAGACATTGAAGAAAAACTCTAACATTGATGCATTTATCCCACAGAAAGCCCCACATTCCTTTGCTCTTAGATTTCTAAGAAGAAAACTTTGGAGACCAAATAAATACCTTCAAAGGCATACCAGTAAATATGGAAGAAAGGGATGAGATAGACCAAATTAGAGTCACTAGATGGCACAATTAAAGACTGAGCCCTTTCATGATGGTTCACGAAATGGGGGAATATGTGACCGGCACAATATTTATTTGTGTGTATATAGTCTCCATGTTCTACATACTTCTGCACAAATAAGATTGTAATATTTGTTTATGATGATTCTACTATGCTTTCTCTCTCTCCTCTAAAGCTTTGCAAACCATTTCCAGGATGTTTCGCAATTCATAAATTGAAAAGTAGTAGGGATAGACCAAAGGTCAGAGCAAGTGGGAAAGAATTTAGCATAAAATTGAGGGGAAAAAGGGTGAAGAAGCCTTGCTGTATGTATAAAGTGGATCTTTCCCTTAATCTTTCTCAAGAAGATTGAATTTGATATTTGAACTTTTTTTTTTTATTCCCTCCAATTTCTGTGTATTTTGAGGCAGAGTCTCACTCTCTTGCCCAGGCTGGAGTGCAATGGCGTGATCTCAGCTCACTGAAGCCTCCACCCCACTGGGTTCAAGTGATTCTCCCACCTCAGCCTCCCAAGTAGCTGGGATTACAGGCACCCATCATCATACTCAGCTAATTTTTGTATTTTTGTAGAGACGGGGTTTCACCATGTTGGCAAGGCTGGTCTTGAACTCCTGACCTCAGGTGATCCTCCTGCCTCTGCCTCCCAAAGTGCTGGGATTACAGGTGTGAGCCACCACACCCAGCCTCTGGATTCTTTTTACATGCTAGTTCACAGATAGACTAGATTGTGTAAGCCCTTCTTTCATTGGGGCTTTTCATTTACAGTCTTACATGTGGCTCATGCTGTAAACAAAACATAACAAAAACTCCTTTGCCATAATCTGAATGCATTATAACCAAACACACTACAACTATGCTTCCCAAACTGTGAACTGTAAACCAAAAATTAAATTCTATGCTCCCCAACCCCCCGACCAACTGAATGAAACTTTTCTCTCAGCCAAGGGCATTTCAAAGTTGACCTGAAACATAAGTTCAGACCATGATGGGAATGCAAAGTTGGACATATCCCATTATACCCTCCTTCCTTTGGAATTCAGGCAAAATTGACCAGCATTAACATTAAAATGGAGACCTTAAAATAATCTATTCTCTCCTACTACCTGGAGGTTTCATCTGCATAATAAAAGTCTTGGTCTCCACAACCCCTTATCTTAACCCAGACACTCCCTTCTACTGATTCCAGGTCTTTAGATAAACTCTTTCAACCAATTGCAACCAGAAAATCTTTGAATCCACCTATAACCTAGAAGCCCCCAGTTTGAGCTGTCCCACCTTTCTGGACCAAACCAACGTTGTCTAACATGTATTGATTGATGTCTTATGTCTCCCTAAAAAGTATAAAACCAAACTGTAGCGTGACCACCTTGAGCACATGTTTTTAGGGCTTCCTGAGGATGTGTCATGGGGATGTCCTTAACCTTTGCAAAATAAACTTCTAAATTAATTGAGTCCTGTCTTAGATACTTTTTGGTTTACAGAAGCAAGGTGCCGTGGGGCACTTGAGTAAACTCTTAGTGGCACTACAGGATCTTTAAATATTCCAAGAAAGTATGCTGATATTTGTTGCATACCATGTGAACTATAATTTGTTTGGACTTAAAACTACCCAATAAATTAATCTGTCAAGTATTTCCTTTGGCCTAAGACTGATGTAAATAGTTACTGACACACCAATTGGGTCATGAACCAGAAAGTTCTAGAAACACTATAGCTTTCCAAATTCCATACCTTCTCTCCTTGCTTTCATTTCACCTACAATAATTTATTCCACCATCTTTATTTGAAAAATTATATTCTACTAATTTCCCTATTCAATTTCATCTGCTACCTTCTCCAAGAGGGTTTCCGATTAACCAGAAGAAATTTCTGCCACCTGAACATTTTTGATTACAACACTTGTAACATTCTATACTATCGTCTTCTCTCCTAATACACTATGAAGCCCCTAAGAGCAGAAACCATGTCTCAATTACAGATTGAGATTCTTTCTCACAAATGAGGACAGTGAAACAGAGAAAAATAGTTGATTAATTAGAAGGCAGCACAATAACTTAGTAACAGAATTGAAACCAAATCTTATATCTCCTGACTCTTGGTAGCATATAGTTCTGCAGAGAATTTAAAATAATAGATGCCTAAAAATATTTGATGAATATATTATCAAACAAATAATAGAATTAAACTGATTTTTAAATAATAAAGATAATATAAATTTTCAAGATATAATCTTCTAAGAAAAAATTAGATCTAATGTACCATTTATATTACTTTGAGATTAACATTAAGATAAATAATTTTTATTCACATTTATTGCTGAGTGAAAAACCTGGGTTTTAAGAATTTCCCATACATTTCTAACTTAATAGGGTCAGATGCGCAACTATAAATATTCAGTTTATTATATTCATTTGAAAAATATATATTTATGGAACATGTAATGGTGTAAAGTTTTACAGCCACATGTAAATCAGTAATTTTACACTGTAGTTATATGTTAATGCCAGCTATGTGATTTTTTTTTTTCATATGTAATTTTAGCTTATAGTAAACAAGTGCGGAAATTTTTGTAAAATAATAAAGCTATTTCTTTACATTATCTACTATTAATTTTTCATAATAATCACATTTGTCTTTGCTTCCCTTGGAAAATAATATTTTGAATGTTGTTTGGTAAATCATAATTTAAAACAAAATCATTTTTATTAGACTTGTATAAAGTTTAACACTAATTTTCAACACAACATGTTATGATTCAAATGACATATTAATTATTTTTTTATTTCAATACTATATCTACCCTATACACTGTGGACAATTTTTTTAAGGAACTCATTTTTTTTTCTTTTTTTAGATTAAAATGGGCCCTAAAGTTACCATACCCCATCATAAGCTCTGAAAGTCTTTATATATAAACTGAATGTACATCTGAATTCTATCACACATACATGCAATGTAGAAAATTCCTAGAATTTCATGTTTTCTCCACATCCATTTTGAATATAAGTTTAACTTTCTCATACCAGAAGCCTGGCTTGACAGTTTCCAGTTCTACACCTCTTCCCAATTCCTCAATGTAGTGAGCCAGATATCTGCCTTATACAACTGTCTCCTAGTAATCACCTCCCTACGGAGCTAGATACAACCTACTTGACTTGCCCCACCAACCCCCATGCCCTGCATGGAGTTTGCAGATGTGCTGCGGTGACCCCCTCTCAGTCACAGCGTGACACTGTGGAATTCATGCCTGCTTGCTCCAAACCCAAGGGAAACCTGCTTGGGTAATATCCTGGGCCCCAACAAAGGCTTCAGCCCATTATCCCTCTTTTTCTCTCTTTCTCTCTACCCTGCTGGTTGAGTGTGCTGTCTCCGACAGCTCCCCTCTTCCCCTTGGTCCTGTGATGCTGCTCTCTTCATTCTGAGATCTGTAAATAATCAATTGATTCAGTTATTTTAAGTGTTTTGTTGTGTTGCCTCCTCTGTGCTGCCTCACCTGACCAACACACTTGAACCTAACATCTTTCCCAGTCATGGCTCTCCAAGACAGTGGCAATCTTAGTAGGAATAAATGAGACACAGGTAAGACAAGAGCCATAAAAGCAAGTGCCACTATAAAGAAGTTTCCTGTGAACAGGACACCTGGTTACAAGTTGGACATTTAGCCATCAGGCTGTCCACCAGGATGAAGAAGTATCCCATGAAAGACATACTGTAAACATCGATGACCAAATTCCCTGGAGCCCCATCTGGGCAGGGCTAGATTTTATAGCCACTTTCCTAAAAGACACCTCAAAGCCAACTTAGAAAAACCAAAACAAAATATACATACATATTATAGTATATGCAGATATCTCTAGTCATGGAGCTATAAGTTTTATCAAACCATTTTTTAACACTTTTAATAAGTTATTTCTTATGTTTCCACAATTCTATAGTGAACACTGCTCATTCCACAGCTGTGTTCACTATAAAAAACTGTTCACTCAAAAAAGTTTGAGTTTTCAAACAGATTGCTTCAAAATGATCTAGTGCCTATTTAAAATTCTTGTATCAACTGTTCATAGTAAAATATAATATAGATCCTTTTAAAACACTATTTAGATTTGCTTTGTTCTTGATTTCATATATGTTAATGTTATTGCATGTTTCTGTTTTTTTGTTTTTTTTCCCCTACCCAATGACTTTTCAGATATTAAGAAGTCACATTAAAGGACCACGTTTTTATAGAAGAGCCAATTACATGTGTTAGGTATTCAAAGTAAGATTGGTTTCTCTCCTACACCAAATAAATGTCATAAAACTTTCCAGTAAGAATTTGTTAATATTATGTCAAATTGTAAATAGATCAGCTTATGACCTGATTTTATTTTAAGCTTTGCATTTCATTGCATTTCACAATTTACCTGCTGGTTAACACTAGCACAGAAAGGTGTAGGAATTCAAATAACAAATGCCACACATATCTCAGCCTTTTGATTTCCGTTTGGATGACCCAGGTATTTTAGACTTTCAGGCAACCAAATTATTTGCTTTAATGAAGAGAGATTGAAACTATTTTTGCAATGTAGCAAAGATTTCACCCTATGAGCCACAGTTGTGCTTAACACAAAACACACTAGTCATCATCTCTCTTACTCCTAAATGGTTCTTCAAAATGTTTATTTTAGGTAGAGAAATCTTCTTAAATATTTCTGAAACAAACCATTTAAACAAAGAGTATAAACAATATAGTTTGGAATGAATATTACAGACACACAATTGTCATTACATCAGGCAAACAAGCACAAAGTAAAGGCAGACCAAAAATTTTTTTTAACCCAACACCAAAGCTGAGAAGCAAACTATCAGGAGATAAAAAGCAATTAAGATAAAAAGATCAAAATGGCTTATTCAAGTAGATTTCTAAAAGCCTTTCTCTATTATACTTGCTTCATAACCTTGAGCAGGACTAAACAGATTTAATCCCTTGTGTGAATCTTATTTATCTGAGAATGCTTTATGATTGAAAACTCAGTATCTTTTAAGATCAGCTACACACTTTTAGAATATTTGCCTTTGATAAAAGTAAAACAACCTCTTTGATTGTCTAGCTTTCATTAAGTAGTTCTAGTCTACTCTAGTGATTATTTTAAAGCTTTTACAGCTTTATTTTTAAAAAGCACTCTCTTAGTTTTAGCTG
This sequence comes from Homo sapiens, assembly GCF_000001405.40. Classification (NCBI taxonomy): domain Eukaryota; kingdom Metazoa; phylum Chordata; class Mammalia; order Primates; family Hominidae; genus Homo; species Homo sapiens. The sequence goes on along the minus strand of NC_000007.14, from coordinate 83,689,340 downwards.
ATTTGAACTAAACTCTGCAATTCTGCAGCCGATTTGCTAAATAACCTTGGGGAAGTCACGTAACACTTCTGTGATTCCATTTCTTTTAGCTATTTAAAGAGGGAGAAATAACTCATACAACTTGGAGAGGATACACAGGCTCTATAAAATATTAAGATTTACATGATGGAAGATATTTAATACACATGCACCTTTTATAAAACAAAGGTATAATCTTATTTAGTATCTCCTCAAATCCCTCACCAATTTAAGAAAAAAAACTCTCACTGATCAGTATGCTTAACAAGAACTAACTTTCAACTCATTGGGCAAAGGGCTCATCTGCTAAATAGTGACAAAAAAAAAAAGACTCCAAATAAATGAATAAATAAGATTGGGATAAGTATTACACTAGCAGAGAAACCATAGAACTCGGTTGGGGGAAAATTAGCAAGTTACAGCAATTCACCCATTCCAGAAAAAAGAATAAGAAACAGAATTCATCCCACACCTAATGTTTTTAGGATAGAAATGTATGAGACTAAACAAACATTACCAGACATAAGAAGTACAAGATTATGACTATTTTCACTCAAATAGTATAAGTGGTGAGTTTCAGGTGATCCTTGTATTGAGATGAATTTGTAATGTTCTGTAAACATATTGTAAGTAAAACATTATGAGTTAAGACAACGAGATTATGGACAAAGAGCATAATCAAATCTGATTTCAATCATCCACTTACTAGCTTTTTAATCTTGGGCAGGTTTTTAAATAATTCTATGCATCAATTTTTACATTTCTAAAAAATCTTATGGTGGTGAGAATAATGAACATGAAATCCACCATCTTAACAATTTTTTATTTTATTTTTTATTTTTTTTGAGATGGAGTCTTACTCCGTCACCCAGGCTGGAGTGCAGTGGTGCAATCTCAGCTCACTGCAACTTTGCCTCCCCAGTTTAAGCCGTTCTCCTGCCTCAGACTCCCAAGTAGCTGGGATTACAGGCACCTGCCATCATGCCTGGCTAAATTTTGTATTTTTGTAGAGACGAGATTTCACCATGTTGGCCAGGCTAGTCTTAAACTCCTGACCTTAAGTGATCTGCCCTCCTGAGCCTCCCAAAGTGCTGGGATTATAGGCATGAGCCACTGCACCTGGCTTCATCTTAACAAATTTTTAAGTGTAATATTGAGGGTCAGAATATGATACCCTAAAGTATGGTGCCTTGGTGTGTTGAGTACTTTGAACTGAAGGATGCTGGAAGGCCTCAGAAGCAATCTATTTCTCATTTTCTCCTGCCATCCTGTCTTCCACTCCTTTCAGGAGCGAATCTTGGAAATCAGAATATAACTTCCCCAAAGCAGGTCTTAGAAATGAGAACTCTCTTTTTCAAAGCAAGCCATAAAACCTAGAAAGGTCACTGTCCCCCTTCTTGCTTCTCCCTTGAAGATGCTCATTCCAGACGGGTCCTGCCCCCTACCTGGAGGAAGAAATGCTACATACACAGAGAGGCCAAGAAGAATCTGAACAGACAGTCCTTGTTAGGTTTCCCTCCTCAGTCTATCACCTTTAGATCATGCCATTTTGTCCAATCACATTTCCTCATAACTCTCCATTCTTAATCAAATCTAAGTATAAAATGGACAATTTTTTTCTGGGTCTTTGGGTCTTCATTTTTAAAGGCTCCTGTGTCATGTTAAACTTTGATTAAGTAAATTTGTTTCTTGTTAACCCATCTTTGCTATAGAAGTGCGGCCATGACCCTTATGATGAGTGAAGAAAGGTATCACAACTTTCCACCCTTACAATACAATACACATTATTGTTGACTATAGGTAAAACATTGTACTGCATTTCCCTAGAGCTTATTCATCTTGCTTGACTGAAATGTTATGCCTGTTTACTAGTATTTCCCTATTTTCCTTTCCTCCCAGCTCCTGGTAGACACCATTCCATTGTTTGATTATAAGAATTTGTCTGTTTCAGATACCTCATGTAATTGGAATCATGCATCTTTCTGTTACTGGATTATTTCACTTAGTGCAATGTCCTCAACAATACCTCTTCTTTTCACAGGCACAACAGAACCTAAAGTGCAGAACTCCTGTTTTCTTGTTTCTTCCTTCCTTATTTTTCTTCTTGCAAATTTAACAAACAATGCATTTAAGGTATAAAGCATGGTGCCTGATAAAAGGGTGTTTTTACATGGTAGTTTTTACTAATTTGCAGCCAAATAGTTATTTCTGAGTTGGTATCAATCCAGATTTTAGAAAATAATTACATCGATTCTATGGCCTTAGACTTAAAATTCTCTGGGATCACTCACCCACAGTATGTGAAAAAGAAGGAGAAAAAAATTCATGTGGGCCAAGAGGGACAGCAGCCCAAGGCTCTTTACTTCTACCCCAGCCAGGTCCCAGAGTAACAGACCTGCTTGGTGTATGTCTCTGCTAATCACTGTATGAGAAATTTGGGGCCTGATTTTAGCACTTATTCCTTTCTCTCTTGCCCCAATGTGAGTGACAAATACACCAATACTTTCAAAATATATTCTTGCAAATGCATTTAATCTCAATAATATTAAAAGATATATTTACAGAAAAATCACTTAATGGAAGTTCAACAAAGTATTACACTAAAATTATGACTGAACATGATTTTTGTGTATTTTATAAAATTTGTATATGTTATTTAACTTAAAAACAGCTGTCACATTAAAACACACACTCACAATTCTGATTTCACAATTCTACTTCTTGGAATTTATCTTATGGAAATACTCAGAGAAATTCATAACCACGGGTATGTAAGTGTACTTACTGAAGCATAAATAATAGCAGAAATAAGCAACTTAAATGTTCATTAATAATGTTATTGAACATAATCTATTGATATTTATTGATAGTCTTCATCAGTATTACTATGATTTTTTAAATAAAAGATGGCTTATACACAAAATATACATGCAGAAAAACATGCAACCTTTATTAACAAAATAAATATAATCATAGAAAATACATGTGATACTTTTTTTTTTTTGAGACTGAGTCTCACCCTGTCGCGCAGGCTGGAGTGCAATGGCGCAATCTTGGCTCACTGCAATCTCCGCCTCCTGGGTTCAAATGATTCTCCTGCCCCAGCCTCCCGAGTAGCTGGGATTACAGGCGCCCACCACCATGCCCAGCTAATTTTGTGTGTGTGTGTGTGTGTGTGTGTGTGTGTGTGTAGTAGAGACGGGGTTTCACCATATTGGCCAGGCTGGTCTCAGACTCCTGACCTCATGATCCGCCCACCTTGGCCTCCCAAAGTGCTGGGGTTACAGGCATGAGCCACCACGCCCTGCCAATACATTTTAAGACAAAAAGTGAATAATGAAATAGCACGAATAGTATAATCCCAATTTAATAAAATGTGTATGTATTACAAGAAGTTTATACTTACAGACACAAAAATGTTCACTTTAGATTTGTTAGGATATTGGGTTTATAGGTTTTCTTAATTTTTTTAAAAAAATCTCTGATTCTTTTTTGTACCAAGCGTGAATGATTTTATACTTAGAAAAATAAAAAACTAAAATAATACAAAAACAATTAGTGAATCATATACTGCTTATAACTTTAAAATAGACCAATAGTTATAATTTAAAACTTCAGGACTTGAGATAATAGGATTTTGAACACGTAGTCCAACTTCTTTATTTTTCAGAGAGCCCAGAGAGGTAAAATTATCTCCTGAGGTTATGCAACTCATTATTATTATGTATCCAATACATACCAACCTTCTTATTCTAAAATGCTTGAAGTCAGCTTTCTTCAATCCACATAATTAGGTAGACGTTACACATGATTACGTTATTTATAGCCATAAAGATTACACTACAATTTTGTGCAACACCATTTTCTGAGTACAAGATCTGGCCCATGCTGAATCTATAAATAGACTTTTAAGATAATGTACTTGTTTACCTCCACTGTTATTCTTCAATTTGTTGTTTGGTTTTAATTTTTAAATATCTGTTGAAATAAAACCAAGATAATTGTGGTAAGTTCTAATTGTGCAGCGTCCCTCACTTTGACTTATGGGGAAACCCTGGGCCCTCTACCTATGAGTCTTAAATACCTTCAGCTTGCTAAGGCCTTAGAGATGGTAAAGAGCTCCCTGCTGTTTCAAAGCCCTAGGTAAAGTGGAGAATCCACATTCCATCCATTCCTCCCTGGGAGGAAGGGAGTTCATCAGGCATTCAGTACAGATCACAGCTGCTGAAACCACCAAGGTGATTCCCACAGCCCTAGACATTAGATTCCCACAGCCTTAGACCTTTATGAGTTCTGAAGCTCTGCCCGAGGGTTCCTCCACAGGAGCACACCTCAGGCACCTGCTCCCTTCATCTTCTGGGAAACAGACGGAAGCCCAGGGCACTTTGTTAGATTTCTCACAGTTGCCTACACTGACAAGTTTGCCCCACCCCATTTCTTATTATTTCAGTTGTGTCAAAAGTTCAGAAATTTGAAATTGAGGAAATAGCCATGGAATTAGAATCATAGCAAAAAGTATGATTTCCTGTAACTCTTCAAGAAGTCCTTGGGATTTTATAAAGATAACCACTAACTTACACAATGGTGGCAACCAGAGAGAATTTTAAATAACTTGGCAGCTAATATCAATTTGTTTCTTAAGAAAACATACAATCAGGTAATTATTTCCACCAAATTTATTTAAAATTCACAGATGAGCACATTATAACTTTCTAATGGCTATGACAAAAATATAAAACTTTTTGACAAAATATGATTCTTAAGTTCAATGACTCATATTATTGCAGTATTAAACAATTTATATGAACAGAATAGGGTTTGGTTACATAAATATGTGTGGTGATAGTAGATAACTAACCGTCCTCAATGATGACCCCAAAGTGTTTGTAAAAGCATAAAGCAGTGAGATAATTATCTAGTCTTTAAATCTCCAGACATTTTCACCAAATATCAAAAAAAAAAAAAAAAAAAAATCAGAAAATCAGGCCAACCGCCTTGTTTTATATGTTTCTTCTTTTTCTTTAAAAGTGTATATGTTTGCATAGTGTTTGTTAGTTAATGAAAATGATGAAGAGGAGCTGCATGTACTTGAGGGCCATTTTTTAAAGAGGGAATTAATGTCATTTAATGTAGAGTTCTTGCTAAGTAACAAGTCTAAATGCTTAAATATCTTCTGGATCTCTCTCAGTCTCCACTGCCAGTTTAAGGATACCAGAAAGCTGAATTTTGAGCCTCAAGTTGTCCCCATGGGGGCCATAAAAACAAATAAGCTTTGAAAATTTTTGATTTCTAGGTTTAGGTGTTCATAATGCTTGTTAGTGTGTGCAAATAATCACATCCTCAGATTATAAAATAAAATTTTAAATTATTGAGTGACATAGTGATAATTGCACAGATTTGGCTATTTCTAAGACAATAAAAATTATAGAACCTACCACAATCACTACCTTTAAATAATTATAAGGAGAAAAAAACCCAAGATGTACAAATAAAAATAAATAGTAGAAATAATTCTGAAATATCTTTATATGTTGTACATTAGCTAACAATCATATATATATATATAATCATTGGATTGTTAGCTAATGTGTGTGTGTGTGTGTGTGTGTGTATATATATATATATATATATATATATATATATATATATATATGCCAACATTCTTCTCTCCTGGTGATGCGAATTACAGATCATGTTTCTCCATATAATTTCAAATGGAAATTATTTCTGAGAATATCATAGGTTAGTACCAACTGATAAAAATTTGTCACATAGATTTACAACATAAAATTATTTTGCCTCTTAAATTTTAAAGCTTTGGTTGTAAAACTGCTGAGAATGGTGATAGAAATTATGAACCTCCCTCCCAACACAGAGATCAAAGACAGCCACCTACAGAACACGTTCAAGGCGACGGTCATTTGGAAAAATAAGGAATTCATGAAATCCTAAGCCTTTTACTCCCTCTTCAAGCAACTATAATCTGGCTTCTATGTCTACTGAGAGTGACTGCATCATTAAGCAAACCAACAACTCCCAACCCCCACTGCCATATCCAAAGGTTCTTGTGTTATTAGAGTTTATATTTAAAGTTAGTTTCTATTTCCTTTTTGAGATTCTCTCTCTACTCCCTTGGATCTTTTATGCCCTATCATTGGTTAATAGTTTATTTCTCCTGGGCTCTTCTGTCTGAAACTTAAATGTTACTGTTCTCCTGAGAACATGTTGGAGCTGGTTACTGCCCATAAACACCTTTCAGTCTGTATCTTCCTAAAGTATTATACATTCTATTTTTTACCTTACGTCTCCACTATGTGTCTTCCTGGAGCCTTGTTTAGAATTTAGTGCATCATCCTGCACTTGCAGTTGTGTTTTCTCTTAATTTTGATAACAACAAGAACTCTGCCATCCAAGCAGACCAGGAGATGAGGCCTCCTTTTTGCTCACTACTTACCACTAAATAGACTAACACTTGCTGATTTTACCTCTTGCATGTTTATACATATGTTCTCCTCTCCCAGACACTGTAGCCACTCCTCCTAAAATCATGAATTCTTTTTCTTGGATCTCTGCAGCAACCTCCTATTACCAAATTTTCTCTTTTCAAACATAGCCTCCTCAAAGCTGCCAAAGTGATTTATGTTAAACATAAGCTCAAACATTTGAAGTCTGTGCTTCAAATCATCAAAAGATGTCTCATTACATAAGGGATAAAGTTAATGCTTTTGGCAGATCATCCAAGGCCTCCGTAATCTTACCCTTTCCTAGATCTCTAGCTTCATCTTTGCTCTCTTCCTCTTCCACTCTAAACTCCTCCCTGCCTTCCTTCCTCATCCCATTCTCTCAGTCCGGATCCTTTGCCCTTTCCTCCAGCCTTTCATCTTTTGGAAATTTTCTATTTGTCTTTCATGTTTGATACAGCTCTTATTTCTTCTTGTAAGCCTTTTCTGACCCACTTCCCACCTACAAACCCCAACATACATACACTTCGTTTCCCAGCAGGAACTGATAACCTTGACAATTAATAAAATCTAATACTACCTGTCATTTTATATAAATTTAATGTCTTCACTTTGACTTTGAATTCATGTCTTAACCCACTAAAACCTGATACTCACTATCCCACTCCATTGAAGTTAGTAGAAACAGAACAGTCTTTAGTCTTTTTACAGATAGACAATCTGAGTCATTTGACCATATTGGCTTCTTCACAGCATACTTGTATCACATGTAAACACCAGCTTAGCCTTTGGTTCATTATACAATCTTCAGCGAGTTATTTGACATATCTGTCTTGGATTCCTTATCTATAAAATGGGTTAAGAATATAATCTACATAAAATTTGTATAATGTGTTAATACATAGAAACTGTTTAGAGCAGTTCTTGCCCCATCATAATTATTATTATTAAGAGTTGATACAAGTAGTAGATATGAGTGTAGAAATGTTGATGGCTATTATGAAACCTTGGTTGTTGGTCTTCTTAGTTTAAAATAATTTAAACAAGAGACATAGCAAAGAAGATGCAGCATACAGCAATTTATTGCAAAGGAAAATAATATTTTGAAAGTTAGGTGCAGAATATACAGTACACACTGAGAGAGAGTATTCAGGGTAGGCTGCTCATAAGGATGAGACAGGAGAGACTGGCACGAGGGAGACTCCCTTTATGTGAGTTTTACGTAATTATTCATAAGGAGGTAGAAAGAAGTGTTACTAGTAAGCATGGTCTGGGTAGTCCACATGTGCAGTTGCTGTACATGCTTATTCATACATCACATGTCTCATTAGCACTTTAAATCTCCATCCAGGGTGTGTTTTTTACTGTTATAATGAGCATAGTTCAGTCAGAGGACAGGTAAAATCAAAATGCACATGCTCTCTACAGGGGAAATTCCCTACTGGAGTTAGCTTTGCTTGAATGAGCTGGACTACAGTGCAAACGCTGGAGCCTACTGTATGGTCACCACAGTGGCCACATCTTGAGAACATGGTTATTTCCTTGACTACCCATTCGACCTCATAAGTATACAAGATTATTCAAAAGGAATAAAATAAGTCTTATCCTGAAGAACTGACCTTAGCAGGGATCTAATAGGTCTTTTCCAAAAATAGTTATAAAACTTTTCTTTAAATCAGGATGTAAATGAATGACAATATAATAATAATTTTCAAAGTTAATAAAATAATACAGATAAACAGTATTGAATGTTTTTAGTATCCAATTTAGGCATAAGAAAATTCTTTCATTTAAAATATGTCCTTCCTTGCCCACCTTAATTAAATCCATTTTGGTTTTGTAGATAATAATAATGTTGAAATAACATTTTTATACATAATAATAAGTTTTCTTGGCCTTTACTCCACCTTCATTATTCATAAAATTAAACATGTATGTTCCTTTCCCCTCCAAAAATATATTCTTTCCATTACAAAAATAATCACTTACATTGTTACAGAAATACATATGGCTGAAAGTCTCTTTATACCTTTATCATTAAAGGTATTATGTAATTTGTTTGCTTTTCTAAAAAAATTTTTTTAAACCAAGATCATAATCATTTAATAAAAAATATATCTGCTGTATTTTAATCAAAAGAATTGCTACTAATGTTGATGAGGTTAACTGTTAAAGTAGAAACAATGACGGGCTCCGTGGCTCATGCCTGTAATCCCAGCACTTTAAGATGGTGAGGCAGGAGGATTGCTTGAGCCCAGGTGTTCAAGAGCAGCTTGGGCAATATAGTGAGACCTCTGTCTCCACAAAAAGGGAAACAGCCAAGCAAGGTGGCATGTGTCTGTAGTCCCAGCTACTCAAGAGGCTGAGGTGGGAGGATTGCTTGAGCCCGGGAGGTTGAGCTATAATCATGCCACCACACTCCAGCCTTCCAGCCTGTGCAACAGAGTGAGATCCTTGTCTCAAAAAGGAAAAAAAAAAAAGGTAGAAATGTTGTCTTTCTTTTCTTCTTCCAAATGAGTATCTCAACTCATTGACACCACATTGTCCTTGTATTATCTCACTTGGGAACTGCCTCCCTTAGGTCATTCCTTTTTTTTTTTTTTTTTTTTTTTGAGACAGGGTCCCAGGCTGGAGTGCAACGGCACAGGCTTGGCTCACTGTAACCTCTGCCTCTCAAGCTCAAGTCATCGTCACACCTCAGCCTCCCAAATAGCTGAGACTACAGGTGTGCACCACTACACCTGGCTCATTTTTGTGTTTTTTATAGAGATGGGGTTTTGCCCCATTGCCTAGGCTGGTCTTCAACTCTTGGGCTCAAGCAATCCAGCAATCCACCTGCCTCGGCCTCCCAAAGTGCTAGGATTACAAACATGAGCCACTGCACCCAGCCCATTTCTTTTTCTTGAGATCTTTTTCTTCCCATATGCTCCAACAAAGCTTACTTGATCAATGCTTAATTTCTCCATGACTTTTCTGCTTTATTAATAGATAATGACAATAGAAAATAAATTGGGGGTATCTTAAACCTCAAAAGTAATGTGTAGGTTTTGAACTAGGGATCTTTGGACACACAACAGAAATGGATTTAGTCGTTTATATTTCAGTGCTCGGGGAGGTCATATTTTGGAAAGGTGAGCTATCTGGTATCTCAAATTAAACATACGGAGATAAGAATCCAACCCCCTTCCTATGAGATTGGTTATATATATACAGTATTTGTATGGTCTGAATTATACATATAAAGTATTTGTATGGTCTGAATATGAACTATTCACATTTGTTTATTTTAAAAATATACTTTAGGAAAATATAATTTTATCATAATCTACTTTGTAAGAATTAAGTGATGTTGGTAAAATGATTTCATAAAAGATTGCCAATCATTAGATTAATATGAAAATTTTAAATTCTGAATGTGTGTTCTATTTTTGAAAATAACACAAATTAATAATTAACCTTTAATCTCTATATTAATACATTTTATTTCATTTTGAAATCTTTTTATAATACGGTAACTCATGGCCCAAAGATGTGCTTTGACTGCTAACATGGGACAATCTATTTTATTCTGGGAATTCTCAAATATATCCCAAATAGGCAAATCCTATCTTATAAAGTATTCAAATATTAAGTGGTGAAGACTTTAATTTTTAGATAATTAGAAAATCATTCAGCCCTTAAATTAATAATTTTTTTAAAAAAGTTATCTAAAGCTAATATTGAAATAGACTATAGGAGAGTCCCAGAAGCTAGCCTCTCTTAAGAGCTCTGCTAGGACATGTTCTAATAAGTTTTTTGACTTCAGGAATCTAGAGTTGGTGTTGATTAAATTCCTCACCCCTCCAGTACTGACTCCAGCAACCCTGCAGCCTCACACAGACCTACAGCCCTTGATCCTACCACCTCTACACTCCCCTCCCAGTCCACCTTGATCATTCTTCTGCAGCCCAGTGACAGTCTATGGTCAATCTTTATGATCATTTTTCTGGATACTCTCTCTACTCTCTTGTCTCTCTTTCTTCACTATATATGCTTAGCAAAATACCTAAACCTACTACACCTACTGCTTTCTGCATCTCAGCTAATAAATCTCCATTCTTCCAAATGTTCAGGCCTGACCCAGCTATTTACTTTACATACAATTGATTAGCAAATTCTATCAGTTCCACCTATAAAATACGTACATCAATCATTTTCCATCAGTTTCAATACTCTCTTTGGTCCAAGCAAACATTATTTTTTTTCTGAATTGTAACAGTTTCCTAACAGGTATACCAGATTGATCGTTCTTCTCTCCTTATGTTCCCAGTCTGTTTTCAATACAAAAGCCAGAGTATCCCTTTAAAAACATAAATCAGATTATGTCTCAACTCTATTTGAAAGACAATTGCTTTTATTCTCGTCTGACAAGAAGCCTCCACTTCTTTGCCTTATTCTCTCTCAGGTCTCATCTTTTCCTAGCCTCTCCTACTTGTCAATTCACTACAACCCATCTGTCTTCTTGCTCTTCTTGGGTCATTCTAGCAATGCTCCCAGGTGCTTCACAGCCTTTAAACTTGTCCCTTTGGCCTGGAATGCTATTTTCCCTGGAGGCTAGGTTGGTTGAGGATGGAGAAGGGCTTGTTTCTTCACCTCCTACAGTTCTTGGTTTAATTATCACCTTCTCGCAAAGATCATTACTAATCATAGGATTTAAATGTTATCATCTCAATGACCCCACTTGCTTTTCTTGAGTTTTTTCTTTATCACATTTACACAATACAATTTATTCTACTCATTTGTATTATTTACTTTCCTCATGAGATGTAAGTCCATTATGTCATTTGTCAGTTTTATTTATTGTTGAATTCTCTGTAACTAGCACAGTGCTTGAACACAGTTTTTGCTCAACACAAGTTTGTTGAATATATTCAGGAAAAAACATACAACTGGTTTTTAGTCATCATAAATGGTAAGAACTTGGGCTTTGGAGTCAAAGATCTTGTGTTCATTTTTTGGCTCCACCAATTATGAGCTGTGTGAGCATGGAGATAATAACCATGTCCATCTCACAGAGCAGTTGTGATATATTAATGAAGAACAAGCCCAAAGGGTATGTTTTGGAGTTCCTGGCCAGAGTAAACACTGGTCACTGTTTTTATGAAAGTATTTTTGAGTGGGCGGGGAAATGTGCTGTGTATCCTGTATGCTGTATCTCATTAAGTCTGCTTGCCTATAAGTTAAACATGAAGTGCTGTTGCCTCTGGGGACTCCAAGAATATCCGGACTCCTCCAGACTTTTAGACTAAGTGAAGATACGGGGTAGGTTGATGTTTTCTTTAGGGTTGTGTCATGTCAAGTGTCCACTGGACATATCTTAATTTATTCTGCAATTACTCATACTCACCAGTACTTATTGGAAATGTAAATAAAGGATACTATAAATTATGATGAAAAGGATGGAGAACCATAGGATAAATAAAGAGGAGCTAAAAATAATCACTGAAACCTGAGCCAGTCCAGAGACTGTGGTAGGTCCCAGAGGGGATTCCTGGCTCTAGGGATCCCCTAAGGCCTTCAGGGTTTACACTTTCCATTTGGGTGTGGGCCTGTGACTCAGGCTGAATCATCCCCACTGAACTAGTCCAGCTGTTTCCATTTCCAGAGCTACGAGAACTTCCTTAGTCTGCAGGTTGTTTAAAGTAGTCACTTAAAGCACTTTAAAAATTGTCGAAGTGACTTCTGCCTTAGAAAAGCAAAAAATAAATTCTGCTGTTTTTAGAGGTATGAATCAACCTGGGAGCCCAATCCTAAATTACAAAAAGTGGAAAAAACTTACCCTAACTCTTCATTTAGAAACCACCTTTGCACCTGGACACTTGATTTAACAGCACATTCTAACGTGGAAGAAAAAGAAGAGGAAAAAAAAAATTAAACTCATTAAGAATAGTAACTTTGCAAAAAAAAAAAAAAAAGCCTTTGGTCACAATTTAGGAGTTGAAAAAAAAAGAAATTAAAACTCTTCTCACTCTAACTTAGAGTTCTATAGGATTGTTAGGATCTGCAAATATATTTGAATAGAAATCAAATTATTTAGGAAGAATATATTTTATTACTGTTTGTGGAAGATTTTGCAAGGCAATATGTGGTAGAATATTCAAAGTACTAGAGATGAGTTAGATCAGACTCTGGCTCATTTCCCAGGAAATATAATATTGTATAAAGAAAAGCAGTATAATCAGTTTCTTATGCTACCCATTCAGGTGTCTCACGTTTACCGGAAATTTAAAACAGATCTTCAAAGAGAAATCGACTTAACATGTAAAAGAATAAGACCAGATACCAACAGAAGCTAAATGGTGTTCTTGTGTATAAAAATTTTGAATGCATAAAATTTATAATTTTATAGAATTAGTAAAAATAAATAGAAAGGAATGTTGATAGACATAGAGTTAGAATATGTTCATTAAGTAAAAAAAAAACAAAAAGCCCAATTTTACTTCCATATGGAATATAACCAAATAATCCTGTTGCAATTGAAAGGCTAAAGCAGAATAAGAAATGCTAACACTGTGTTAGGTACAGAGATGTCCTCTGTAGATGATGAACCAGTAAGTAGAAGAAAATTTAGCTGTAAACCAAGCTCAGAATTAAGTGGGCAAAGAGAAGCTAACAAAAATGCCTGAAATTAATGAATAGGTAGGTTGGCCCATATTAATATTCAAATATTCAACTTGAACTTACAGTGATTTTTTTTTCTTGTGCTTTTGAAGTTATTTTTCAAAGATACATAATTTTTAAGTCACAGACATAAATTGTTGCCAGAAAGGTTCAGGTAACAGATCATGAAAACGTAAGCATTATTATGATTATTACTAATTCTGATATTTTGCTTTATAGCATAGATTCTTAATAGGTTTTGTATCACCAGCTCTTGCTGTTTGTAAGGCATTTTTGGTTTCACAATGACTGGGGACACTGTCAATGGTTATGGTTGATAGCCAGGGGTGCTAGCTGTCCTGCAATTCAAATCAATTAAGCCTTAAGGAAAGCATAAGGCATAAGGAAACCTTTTTTTTTTTTTTTTTTTTTTTTTGAGACAGAGTCTCACTCTGTCGCCCAGGCTGGAGCAGTGGCGCGATCTCGGCTCACTGCAAGCTCTGGCTCACTGCAAGCTCTGCCTCCTGGGTTCACGCCATTCTCCTGCCTCAGCCTCCTGAGTAGCTGGGACCACAGCGCCTGCCACTGCACCTGGCTAATTTTTTGTATTTGTAGCAGAGACGGGGTTTCACCATATTAGCCAGGATGGTCTCGATCTCCTGACCTCGTGATCCGCCCGCCTGGGCCTCCCAAAGTGCTGGGATTACAGGCATGAGCCACTGTGCCCAGCCCAGGAAGACTTTCTTACACAGTTTTGAAATATTTCGCATTGAGAGGCAGGGCTAGCTGGATTTCGTAGCCTAGCTAGGAAGGTGACTGCATCCACCTTTAAGCCCCGGGCTCGCAACTTAGCTCTCACCCGACCAATCAGGTAGTAAAGAGAGGTCACTAAAATGCTAATTAGGCAAAAACAGGAGGTAAAGAAATAGTCAATCTTCTATTGCCTGAGAGTACAGCAGGAGGGACAATGATCAGGATATAAACCCAGGCATTTGAGCTGGCAACGGCTACCCTCTTTGGCTCCCCTCCCTTTGTATGGGAGTTCTGTTTTCACTCTATTAAATCTTGCAACTGCACTCTCTTCTGGTCCATGTTTGTTACGGCTAGAGCTGAGCTTTCGCTCACTGTCCACCACTGCTGTTTGCGGCTGTCGCAGATCCCCCGCTGACTTCCATACCTCCGGATCCGGCAGGGTGTCTGCTGTGCTCCTGATCCAGCAAGGCACCCATTGCTGCTCCAGATTGGGCTAAAGGCTTGCCATTGTTCCTGCAGGGCTAAGTGCCCGGGTTCATCCTAATCAAGGTGAACACTAGTCACTGGGTTGCAGGTTCTCTTCCGTGACCCACGGCTTCTAATAGAGCTATAACACTCACCGCATGGCCCAAGATACCATTCCTTGGAATCCGTGAGGCCAAGAACCCCACACAAGGGTTGCCACCATCTTGCAAGGGGCCCTCTGCCATCTTGGAAGCTCTGGGAGCTAGTGTGTCCGGAAGTGGTGGGTTCTTAGTCTCACTGACTTTAAGAATGAAGCCGCGGACCCTCGCGGTGAGTGTTACAGCTCTTAAGGTGGCACGTCTGGAGTTTGTTCCTTCTGATGTTTGGATGTGTTTGGAGTTTCTTCCTTCTGGTGGGTTCGTGGTCTCGCTGGCTCAGGAGTGAAGCTGCAGACCTTCAGGGTGAGTGTTAACAGCTCTTAAGGCGGCACGTCTGGAGTTGTTCGTTCCTCCTGGTGGGCTCGTGGTCTCGCTGGCTTCAGGAGTGAAACTGCAGACTTTGGCGGTGAGTGTTACAGCTCATAAAAGCAGTGTGGACCCAAAGAGTGAGCAGCAGCAAGATTTATTGCAAAGAGAAAAAGAACAAAGCTACCTTTCACAGTATGGAAGGGGACCCCAGCGGCTTGCCACTGCTGGCTCAGACAGCCTGCTTTTATCCTCTTATCTGGCCCCACCCACGTCCTGCTGATTGGTAGAGCCAAGTGGTCTGTTTTGACAGGGCGCTGATTGGTGCGTTTACAATCCCTGAACTAGACACAAAGGTTCTCCACGTCCCCATCAGATTAGTTAGATATAGAGTATAGACACAAAGGTTCTCCAAGGCCCCACCAGAGCAGCTAGATAAAGAGTATGGATTGGTACACTCATAAACTTTGAGCTAAACACAGGGTTGGTGTTTTTACAAAACTTGATTGGTGTGTTTACAAACCTTGACCTAGATACAGAGTGCGGATTGGTGTATTTACAATCCCTGAGCTAGACATAAAGGTTCTCCCAGGCCCCACCAGACCAGCTAGATACAGTGTGGATTGGTGCACTCACAAACCCTGAGCCAGACACAGGGTGCTGACTGGTGTGTTTACAAAACTTGAGCTAGATACAGAATGCCGATTGGTGTATTTACAATCCCTGAGCTAGACATAAAGATTCTCCAAGTCCACACCAGACTCAGGAGCCCAGCTGGCTTCACCCAGTGGATCCCGCACTGGGGCTGCAGGTGGAGCTGCCTGCCAGTCCCACGCCATGCGCTCGCACTCCTCAGCCCTTGGGTGGTCAATGGGACTGGGCGCCGTGGAGCAGGGGGCGGCGCTCCTCGGGGAGGCTGCACAGGAACCCACGGAGGTGGGGGAAGGCTCAGGCATGGCGGGCTGCAGTCCCCAGGCCTGCCCCGAGGGAAGGCAGCTAAGGCCCGGCGAGAAATCTAGCACAGCGCCGGTGGGCTGGTACTGCTGGGGCACCCAGTACACCGTCCGCAGCCGCTGGCCCGGGTGCTAAGTCCCTCATTGCCCGGGGCCGGCAGGGCCAGCCGGCCGCTCCGAGTGCGGGGCCCGCCAAGCCCACGCCCACCTGGAACTCCAGCTGGCCCGCAAGCCCCACACACAGCCCTTGTTCCCGCTCGCGCCTCTCCCTCCACACCTCCCTGCAAGCTGAGGGAGTGGGCTCCGGCCTTGGCCAGCCCAGAAAGGGGCTCCCACAGTGCAGCGGTGGGCTGAAGGGCTCCTGAAGTGCCGCCAAAGTGGGAGCCCACGCAGAGGAGGCGCCGAGAGCGAGCGAGGGCTGTGAGGACTGCCAGCACGCTGTCACCTCTCACTAGGACACCCCTTAACAGCTTGACATTCATATAGTTAAAATGATTGCAGGGTGCGGTGGCTGATGCCTGTAATCCCAGCACTTTGGGAGGCTGAGGCAGACGGATCACCAGGTCAGGATATCAAGACCATCCTGGCTAACACGGTGAAACCCCGCCTCTACTAAAAATACAAAAAATTAGCCGGGTGCGGTGGCGGTCGCCTGTAGTCCCAGCTACTCAGGAGGCTGAGGCAGGAGAATGGCGTGAACCCGGGAGGCGGAGCTTGCAGTGAGCCGAGATCGCACCACTGCACTCCAGCCTGGGTGACAGAGCAAGACTCTGTCTCAGAAAAACAAACAAACAAAAACAAAAAAACCACTCATGATTATTTGAACCTAGAATTTCATTCTATTTTACATATAAACCAAAAATTACTTTTGTATGTTTTTCAAATTTGCCAGATTTTTCAGGAATGCGCTCTAATGTAAACGTAAATGTACATTTATTTATGTTGATTTGTTTTTATGATCTCCAAATACTATAGGAATTCTACTGGCTCTCTAGCTTAAGGTCTAAACTGAAATTAGCTTACTGGTCTTTTTCCTAATCTTGTTCCTTGGTGCAACCTTCTGTGACTAGAGACAAAGAATCCTGACCCAAGTAAAATAATAGTTCTCCTAAGGCCTAGAGAAGAGCTACTGTCAGCTAACCACTACAGATCTCCTTTCCCTGGTTTCCCTGAATCTTACAGGGACAAAGGGACCTCCCATGGAGAAGTAATCACAAACTCATTTTTACCTTACCAGCCTTAGGAAAAAGGAAGCAATTTAGAAAGGGAGAAGAATCCAAACAGAGTTCCTCCCTGGAAAAACTCTTCTAACACAATAGCCTACTTTGTCCCTCTGTTAATGGTGAGAAAGAGTGGCCTAGAGCTATTGCTACAGCGTATAGCCAACACTTATAATAAATTACCAGAGCTACTCATTTTCGGGTGGTAGTTGGTTTGTTTTTGTAGACTAGTTTGAGATAATTTTGTCAAAAAAGGAAAAGAACTAAATAATTATAACCTAATAATTTTTATAGATTTTATATGCACATTTATTATTAGTATGTAAGGAATGAACATTTAAATATCTTTGTAGGCACATAACTTTTTATTATTATTATTACATAAAAAAGGAGAACTTACACTCCAGCCTGGTGACAGAGTGAAACCCTGCCTCTAGAAAAAAAGAAAAGAAAAAAGAAAAAAAAATTCAGTCTCAGTATCCTGGCATATGTCATTATATTGAATATTTTATATATTCTATGACATTTATAAATTTTCCAGTAGACATTTACTGGAGATCAATGCTCTGTAACCATTTCTTTTACCATATATTTTTCCTATCTTTACTTAAACCACTTACCCAGATCCATTATTACTGATTTTCAGTAAAAGAGGGATGTGAAGTCACACATACATGTGCACACACACACGTGCACACACACACATACACACACGCACTAGAAAACATCCTGGGAATGATGGTTTCAAATAACTCTTACATTTTGCATATTACATCAAAATGGCTATCCAGAGCTTTACTACCTGGAGTGTGGTTCGTGGAAGAGCAATAATTGACATCACCTGGAGCTTGTTTGAAATGCAGAGTTACAGGCCGCAGAATCAG
The DNA here is from genome assembly GCF_000001405.40 of Homo sapiens. Lineage (NCBI taxonomy): Eukaryota > Metazoa > Chordata > Mammalia > Primates > Hominidae > Homo > Homo sapiens. The sequence goes on along the minus strand of NC_000007.14, from coordinate 83,671,483 downwards.
TATCTGCATTTTTATGAATTTCCTCTTATGATTTGTATACGTACACAGTTTAAGGAACAACGATCATGAAAAGGGTCAGCAAACTTTCTGAAAACGACCCAATAGTAAATATATTAAGCTTTATAAGCCATTCACTTTATAAGCCATTAACTACTTAACCCTGAAGGGGTAGTGCAAAAGCAGTTGGAGATAATATGAAAACAACTCTATGGTTGTGTTTCAATAATACTTTACTTATGAACACTGAAATTTTATTTTCACATGTCACCAAAAAGTATTCAAACTATTTTTCCTTGAATACTTTTTCATTACTTAAAATGTAAGAATTCTCCTAGGTCACTGTGGGCTACCAGATTTAGCTTGTTTGCTGCAGTTTAATGGCCTCTGATCCAAAGCAGTTTAACCTTCCATAAGGTGATATTCTATGCAGAGTTAATAAAATATCTGAGAAGCCAAAAGTAGAATTTCAAATAAAAGGAATCTAGTTTCAAACTCCTGGAAACCATGTTAAAGACAAAATGACAACAAAATAAGACAATCATGAAAAGAAAATAAATTCTCATTATTATCTATGCATATGTAACATATATATGTAATATATGTGGGTATGTATATAAAATATATATGTATATATTTATATATATAAATATATGTATGTAATATGTGCTTATTATAGAATATATTAAAAAATGAAAATATTTAAGCTATGTAAATTATTTCCTCCTGAGACACACTGTTAAACTCTCAGTCTATTTCCTATATTTTTGTAAGTATACACAACCATTACTGTATATATAATTTTATATTCTAATTTTCCCAGGTAATTCTTTTTCATAAACTTTTTATATATCTATAAATGGGCTTCCAAAATACATAATTTTAAAGGACAGCCTAATATTCTAATATAAGGATCTGTTGCAATTCCTTAGGCTTTGGTATTTTAAAAGACCTGTAGAAAACACAGTGAAGATGACTGAAAGTTAGGAGAATGTATAATGATTACTCAGTATAACAAACTAAACCTTAAAAAAGGAGTGGTTGCAGACATGCCCAATTATAGAGTACAGAAGGACCTCATTTGATGCTACTCAATTGAAGAGCATTAATTGAAGAATCACCTCCAGGAAGGGTGGATACTTATATACACAAAGGAGAGATAACTAGGTACGTTTTTCATTGTAAAGTTAATGCATATTTTAAAAAGCTTTTTTTAAAAGTAAGTACAAGGTATTTGAAAAATCCTAATTCTTCTGGTATGTTCTTGTAATGCAAAATAGAAGGAAAGTGATTTCAAACCTAGTGTAATCATAATAATTTAAGACAATAAAAAGTTATTGAGATCATACAGAATAGCTACTAGGAAGTTCATTGTATATTACCTGCATGAAGAAAAACAGAAACAAATTGTGAAAACAGTGTGGTCCCTCCTGTTTGAAAATATTAAAAAATCTCTGTAGAGGTGTGATGACAAAGATAATACATTTGACCCTTGAGCAACACGAGTTTGAACTGTGCAGATCCATGTATAGGTGGATTTATTCAGCAAATATATTTTAACTATTTCTTGAGATTATGACAATTTGGAAAAGACAAAACATGTGGCCTACAAATATGAAAAATTAAGAATAATCTAAGTATGTCATGAATGCGTAAAATATATGTAGACAGTCTTTTTATCATTTAGTACCATAACATACACATAAATTTATAAAAAGATAAAATTCATCAAAACTTAGGCACACATGACCTTACATGGCAACATTTGCAATAGAGAGAAACGTAAATAAATGTAAAGAGGCAGTATTAAGTCATAACTGCATAAAATTAACTGTAGTGCATACTATACTACTGCAATGATTTCCCAGCTACCTCCTGTTGCTATTGCAGTGAGCTCAACTGTTGGGGGTATCTGCTCAAATGCCAGATGACACCAGTCATCTCCATGTGAGCAGTTCATTTCTCTACTAAATTGTGTGTAGCAGTAAAAAGTGCTCTTCCATAGTTCTGCATTTTTCATTGTGCTTAATGCAGTACCTTAAACCTGGAATAACACCATGGGACCCATACAAAGTGTCACTAGTGATGCTGGAAGTGCTCCCAGGAAGCAGAGAAGTCATGACATTATAAGAAAAAGCTGAATTGCTTGACGTGTAGCACAGATCGAGGCCTGCAACTGGGGTTGCCCCCCACATTTCAGACAGATGATTCACCTAGGAAATAGACAACGTAAACTTATTGTATGGACAAAGACAGTAAAGTATTGCAAATGTATTTTCTTTTCCTTGTGATTTCTCAATAACATTTTCTTTTCCCTAGCTTATTATAAGAATATGGTGTATAATACATGTAACATAGAAAATATGTGTTGACTGTTTATGTATATGCAAATTTTTGACAATTTGGGGGATGGCACCCCTAACTCCCATGTTGTTCAAGGCTCAATTCTACATCAAGTATTAAAACACTGAAATAAATTTTGTAATTGTATTGGCTTTTTACCAAAAGTGTATGATTTGCAATTCTGACTTTCCTTCACTTACTGTTATGAGTAAAAATGATGACGCCAATATATTTCTTTTCATTAGAAAAATAGTTCGTTGTCTTCCAGGTTAGGAAGGGAAAGAACCAAAGAGTGGAATTTCAGTTAAATTTTAATTCATTTTTAAATTGTCTAAATTCCAAAAATCTAATACTTTATATAATTAAACTTAATTTTAATCTAAGTTATAAGCATTTCTTCAAAGCTTTCTTCAAATTCTCCAAATTTGTTCACGGGCAGTGTGTGCTTGCATGCAGCATATGTATGTATTATTTGTTCCTTAATATAAAGCTATTCTTAGGATTTATGCTGTGAGGATTGCCTTATAGATGACATATAATTGATCCTTCAATGACTGGATAATCTAACATCCTTCCTGTGTCCAACATACAATTATGCATAGTTTTATGAAAGAGTGACTTTTTATTGAAGACAACAGCAAATTATTAAGTTAGATGTAATTTTAGTTACAACTTGGCTAAAATCTACCTATAAACAATGTTAAAAACTGTCAGAATAAAAATAGTCACTTGTGTTAAAAAAAAAAAAAAGAAAAAAGAAAAAAACCCTGAAAAATGGAGCACAGAAAGGACATGAAGGAATGGTTTTCATGAACAATTGTCTGATTAAAAAAAATCTATCACAAAAGACTCTGCAAAAAACTATAACCTTGCACAAAAGCCACCACAACCTTATGCAAATAACTAACTAGCTAACTAAATAACTAACTAAACAAATAAATCAAAAAACTTCTGCCAGAACATCTACCCAGCAATTGCCTATCCAATTTTGCACTAACTCCACCCTTGTTATTAATCTTTGCAACTAAGGATAATTATCTCACAACAATTATGTAATCCTCTTCATTTTTTTCTTTAAAAACATTTGTTTTCTTTTACATCTCTGAATATGCAGAGAGGACTATGACACACATATACCCATTGCAGTTCCTATTCTGAACTAAACATCATTTCTTTTAGCATATCCCTGTCCATTTGTTATTTAGGTTGATAAAAACAACAGCAAACTGCATAGTCTACAAGCCTGGTTTTCCTAATTTCCCTGTAAAAATAATTTACCATCCTTCAAGTTGCCAAATTTTCCGCATCTCTCCCCTTTTCTTATGAAGAAGTGTATATATGCCTGCACCTGCACCTAATTGGGTTATTGGATAATCATTTCCCTGTGACTCCCCCATGCTATGTACATTAAATAAATTGGCAGTAATTAAAAGAGAGACAATTGAAACACAGTTATAAAGATAACTGAAGTGAATATGGTCCATCTATTTTTTAGCTCACATAGATCCTAAATTGCCTTTTTATTATATATTTTTTTCCCCAAAAGATTAGTAATAACTGATTGGAATCCCTTTAAAATAGCAAATGCTTCTCAAGGAATATATGACTTCAAAACCGTTATTTAAAGAATAGGGCAAATGGCAAATAAAATGCTACACATATGTCATGACATAAACATTTAAAATTTTTATTTAAGTAAAATGTGTCTCACTAGACTTTTGTGTCTCACTAGGGTACATTTTCATCTTACAGGTGAGATAATTATTGCCTACAAAAAGTACACTTATGGCTGGGCATGGTGACTCACACCTGTAATCCCAGCACTTTGGGAGGCCGAGGCGGGCAGATCAGTAAGTCAGGAGTTCAAGACCAGCCTGGCCAACATGGTGAAACCCTGTCTCTACTAGAAATACAAAAATTAGCTGGGCATGGTGGCGGGCATCTGTAATCCCAGCTACTCAGGAGGCTGAGGCAGGAGAGTCACTTGAACTGGGAGGCAGAGGTTGCAGTGAGCCAAGATCTCACCATTGCATTCCAGCCTAGGCAACACAGTAAGACTCTGCCTCAAAAAAAATAAAAAAGGACACTTATTTTCAAGAGTGGATCTTTGAAATCTACTAGTAGAGGCAAAGAAGGAAAGTTCCCCCTTCATTTCCTGAATGTTTGTTAAAAATGAACTGACAAAAGGAAGATTAATAGGAGAGAAAGGCATACAAATTTATTTAATGTGCATAGCATGGGGAAGTCACAGGGAAATGATCACCCAATAACCCAATTAGGTACAGATGCATGTATATATACACTCCTTCACAGGAGAAGCAGAGAGATGGGGAAAATTTGGCAACTTGAGGGATAGTAAATTATGTTTAGGAGGAGATTAGGCCTAATGCTCAAACAATAGTTGCTAAATAATTTTCTTTGGAAATTGAATGGGACGTAGAGCAGACAATAGTTGGGATGAAGTTTATCTGGGCTTTAAGTGTGGTGTTTAATTTTCAGTTTCTTTCTCTGCGATACAAGTTTTAATCTTCTCTGGTTAATGAAATTTCAGGAAAGGCAATTGTGTTCTTTGCAGATCTGGTTTCTAGCTAGATAAGGGAACTTCAGAGAATAGCTTCACTCAGTGCTTTGGGAGAGACAGAGGATTGAAAGACAGGGGGTGGGTGTCACAGGGGTGTCGGGAGAATCAGAGAAATCTTGAGGCTGCTTCATGTCAATGCACCATATTCCAGGGTTACATTTTCTGAGGCCCAACACACTCAAGTTTTCAACCAATTCTAGGGTTGTCTGATTGAGGGTGCACACACACTGATGTTAAAGATGAACATCTGAAATGTACCAGAGTCTGTTGCTGATATTTTGTTGCTTTGCCTTTTCTTCTTCTAAAAGGAAAAAAATAGTAAGTCTGGAAAAAACAAGTTTTGCTCTGGTGGACAGATAGTTTTTTTTTTGCTATAAAATATTTTTCCTTTAATATGCCAAGAGATATCTTGATTATATATTTTCAAAAGTATTTTTCTAGACATATCTCTTCGTCCTTTCAAAAGATTTTATCAGTCTTTCCAGGGATGCTGGATCACAGTTCCGTCCCCTTCTCTGTTTGAAAGCAATACAACACTAATTATTTCAGTGGCAATACGTTCTTAACTAATAAAGAAAATCATTTACAAATATCAGAAATCTAGTTCTGAAATGTTTGCATTAATTTTGATCCGAATTAGAATTTTGTGAGTTGTTTTTTTTTTTTTTAAAGGCAGTAGTTTGACCCACAACTTGCTGATAAACACATTTCTGCTGAAGAAAGGGAAAGAGGAAGAGAGAATACTGCATTTCTTCATTGGACCTAAAAGTGCTAATTTCACTAAGGGATACATCAAAAGCAAATAAGCAACAATTGTTTTAAAACTTTTACTGCAATACATCAATGAAGTAAACAGTAATCAGAAACATACCAATTTTTCCCCCAAACAAACAAAAAATGTAAACAGGAAAATAACTTTGTCTATACTCATACAGCTTCTCAGATCATGTTAGAAGGGCACATCTGGCCGGGCATGGTACTTCACACCTGTAATCCCAGCACTTTGGGAGGCCAAGACAGGAGGATTGCTTGAGCCCCGGCATTTGAGACCAGCCTAGGCAACATAGTAAGACCTTGTCTTTACAAAAAATTAAAAATTAGCCAGGCATGGTGGTGTGTGTCTGTAAGTTCCAGCTACTTTGGAGCCTGAGGCAGGAGAATCACTTGAGCCCAGGAGTTCGAGGCTACAGTAAGCCATGATCAGGCCACTGCACTCCAGCCTGTGTGAAACAGCAAGACTGTTTCAAAAAAAAAAAAAAAAAAATTTAAAAAGGCCTGTAATTAAGTTATCAAGAAATTTTAAAATAGTTAAAGTAGTTATTTTCATTGTAAGAAAAGCTTCCCTTTCTCCCCTACCCCACCCCATGTATTTAACAGGAAAGAATGGGATTTCTTATACATTAATTTTAAACTTTTGTAAAGCAGCAACAATTAACCATCAATAATTTGGCATTTCTCTTAACCATCAATAATTTGGCATTTCTCTTTACAGTTGCCATAGAGTTTCCTTTTAATTCCACAAAGCCCTTATCCAGTGTTTTCATGAAACAGACTGAAAATTCTACATACCAATGATTCTTTCTGAAACCAATGTTAAGTCAAAGAAATATAAACCAGGGCATTACACTAAATTTCTGAATCTAGTACACTAAAAAGAGTGAAACCTAGGGAAAGTCGCCTACTTTGTAGAAGAAATAAAGACCTGCAAAAGCAGGCTGTATAATCATACCGTTTGGATGTGCAGCACCTGCTAATTGAAGCGTACATGCACTGTATTCATCCCTGCCCTATATCCTAGATCTCACCCTCCCCACCCCTAAAAATCTATCATATAGAAAGTATTGTGGGTAGGACCCCAAGTCTTTCCAGACAACCCACTGGATATAGTTAGTGTAATGCACTGGTGTGAGGTGTAAGATACAAAAAAGTCCCTTTCAATCTTCATTCAAGTTCTGCTATAGAAGAAAATTGGCAGCCAAACTGATTCTTCTCACAAACAAAATATGCTCATATCATAAGTCTTTCAGGAAATCTTAATGCCTTTAACCTTTCTATAGCTTCTTTATCCTAACGTTACTAGAATGTAGTTCATGTGACCACTTCCAACTTTGCAATTCCTCTCCTGCCACTTCCACCTCTTCCTCCATGTTCACCAGCTTCTTGAACTAGTTCATTTACCATCTGAATAAAATGCTCCTGGTGTTGGCTAATTTGCTGCAGCAATTAAGGATTCTCTTGACCTATCTGTTATAACAATGCTGGAAAAACAAGGAAGGATTCTATTGAGTAATTTGTCTCATCTGTCAAAACTGAGACTGATTCTGTGAAATTTCTTGGGGATGTTCCCCAGAACTTGTAGTTGTTGCTGTCATAGTTGCAGCAGCTGAAGACACTGCTGAAGACTGAGGAGTCCTAGTAGTACCTGATTGGGTGGGGAGGAGCGGGGTGCTCAACCACAGCCTGATTTTTTCTACCTCCAGGTATTCCTATTAAAAGATACTGCACTGCTCTGTCAGGATTGCTGAAAATGGCTCTCAGGGCCACAATTGCTTGCTCTTGTGTATAGCCCATTGACATGACCTCAGTTACCATATTCTCATTGGACTGACCTTTTACAAGTGTACTTGCAACTTCAAAAAGGTTTGGCAGAGAAGAATCCCCTGCTCTACTCTAAGTTGATGTTGAGCTAGTAGCCACTGGTATTTCTGCTGACTTTTCTGCAGGTTTATCTTGTTTCATTGTACTAGAAGGTACATGTTCAGGACATGCTGTTGTTGGTGCTGGGGTGATAGATATAGGTGTGGATGTGGGAGCAAAGGCAGAGATGAGGGTTGCAGACTGAGCCACAGCAGCTGCTGCGGAGGAACTCACTTCATAGCAGTGGCAGGATTTGATTGCTGCATTGTAGCTGGAGCTGGTATTGTCACTGCTTTGGGTTTTGTCACCATAAACTCAACAAGTTTATATTTTTTGAGAGCAGCATCATCATTGAGGATTTTGCCTGCATAAAATGATTTTTGGACCTGCTACCAGAAAGTCATCTTTCCTCTTTTCAGGTTCAATCTTCTTTTTCAGTACTTTCACTGTCTGTTCACAGTCAATGTTGATCTTGAAGGTTGGCTGCCTAAGTTTTAGGGTGACCTGTGTTGTGCACCTCACAGCTCCACTGCAGGGCCATCGCTGGTGCCAGCCAGGCTGAGTCTGTGGCCCAGCCAGGACTTGAGGTCACCTGCACTCCTTGCGCTCTGGGAAGGAAGGTGGTGGGGGCCGGGGGCTTGTCATATTCACACAGCTGGGTGGTCTCACCAAGAGCCCAGACCTAAGGTCATGCTGATGCCTCCTCAACTATGGCTTTCCTTGTAAACAAGTGCACTGAGTCTGCAGGAGGCACGAGGAACTCTGTGACATAAGAGAATCCACTGGCCCACCACAGGATGGTGGTCGTCATCATCATGACCTGCCCCTCAGTGTTAGACAAATTCTTAAGGTGACCCCAGTGATCTCCACCTCCTAGTGTTCATGCCCTTGTGTGATCCTCTTCCTTGAGTGTGGGTGAGACACATGACTTCCTTCTAGCCAATAGATAATGGCAAAGGTGATGGGATGTATATATTTATGTCTGTGTGATTACATGATTACATGATATTAGACTGTAGTGCTCATCTTGTTGGACTGTCTCCCTCGTTCACTTTGAGGAAACTAGAGGCTATGTTGGAGAACCCCACATAACAAGAATCTCTGGGAGACCTGTAGGACTGAGGGCAGCCTTTGGAGTGACAGGCTATAAGAAACGGAATCCCTTAGTCCTACAATTACAAGAAGCTGAATTTAACCAGCGACTTGAGTAAGCTTGGAAGCAGATCCTCTCCTTGCAGAGCCTACAATGAGACTTCAGCTCTAGCGGACACTGATTGCAGCCTTGCTAGACCCTGAGCAGGGGACCTAGCTAAGCTGTGCCAGCCTCCTTCCCCAGAAACTATGAGATAATTAGTGTGTTGTTTTATGTCACTGAGTTTGTGGTAATGTTGTTCCTCAGTGACAACTAACAAATCTAGAAAACCGTAGTTCATAGGTTCAGTATCTGTAAGCTTGGTGTAAGAATATTGATAATAATTTTTTTAAATGCATGTTTATGAGGCAGGGCAACATAGTGAGACCCCATCTCTAAAAAAAAAAAAAATTTAAAAATAAAATTAGCCAGGCAGGTTGGCACATGCTTGTAGTCCCAGTTACTCAGCAGGCTGAGGTGGGAGGGTTGCTTGAGCCCAGGAGGTCAAGGCTGCAGTGAGCTGTGATTGCACTACTGCACTCCAGCCTAGGTGACAGAGTGAGACCCTGACTCAAAAAAAAATTTTTTTTTCAAAGTAAAGTATTTAGAAATAAACGTTTGTAAAGTTGGTAATTAAGGAGAGTAGGTCTTGGACAGAGGGAAATTATTATAGACCATGGACAATCTTGACATGGAAGTTATAGGCCATTGGTTTCTTAGTTTTTCTTTTTTATTTGCATATTTTTTATGAGAGCTGAATAATGAGCAGTGATTTGTGACATGAAAGCATCACTCACCTATGTAGTGATGTGATGGGATCAGCAGCCTGACAATAACAATTTGAAAAGAAAGATGAAGTATAGAAAAAAGAGAGTAAAGGGGACGTTAAAGAATGCTTTGCTGTAACAGGGAAGAGGCTGTCGAGGAGATAGATAGTATAGAGAAAAGGAGTTTGAAGGAAGATTGCTGTTTTTCTTTTTAATATGAAGACTTGAGCACATTTATACATCTACTTTAAAAAGAGCAATTGAAAGAGAAAGGGGACAAACAATTTGTAATGTACAGTTCCTAAGAAGGGGGAAGAAATAGAGTTCAACCTATAGCTAGAAATATCAATGGCAGATGAAGGAGGGATACCACATCCCTCCTTAATCAACAATTAATCAACAGAAATGTGTGCAGGAAACAAAAGCATATATGCAGTTACGTTTTTAGCTTTTTCTATGAAATAGACATCTAGGTTATATGCTATAAATGAGGAAAGATTTTGCGGAAGGGTAGCTTACACATTTGAGAAGGAATGTTTTGGGAAAAAGTACCAAGAAGAGTGAGACTATGAGTTTAATAGCTAAAGATCCTAAATTTGCTAGACAGTGAAGAGAGCCCAAGTGAGTTACTGTTTATACCTTCAGTGTAATATCCATCCTCCTTGTCATGACTTTTTGAGACAATGCCTAGCTACTTTCTGTCTAGACATAGAGAAAGCAGAGGTATTAGTCCGTTCTCACACTGCTATGAAGAAATACCCAAGACGAGGTAATCTATAAAGAAAAGAGGTTTAATTGACTCACAGTTCTGCATGGCTGGGGAGACCACAGGAAACTTACAAGCAGGATGGAAGGCACTTCTTCACAAGGTGGCAGGAGAGAAAAGGAGTGCCAGATGCTTATAAAACCATCATATCTTGTGAGAACTCACTCACTATCATGAGAACAGTATGGGGGAATCACCCCCATGATTCAGTGACCTCCCACCGGGTCCTCCTCATTACCTGTGGGGATGTGCCCTCCATCCTGATTGTAAGTTTCCTGTGGTCTCCCCAGCCATGCAGAACTGTGAGTCAATTAAACCTCTTTTCTTTACAGATTACCTAGTCTTGGGTATTAATTATGGGATTAAAATTTAAGATGAGAATTGGGTGGGGACACAAAGCTAAACCATGTCATTAGATAATCATGTTAATCCAGAGCTTGTGTTTTGCCTGATGGTTGAAGAATAAGAGAGAGGGACTAAGTAGTTTAGGCTATTGGCAATAGCATTATTGAAATAGGGAAATGTTAGACTCTCAGCAGGATAAGGAGAAAGTAAAGATAAGAGAGGCTGATGGATTGAAAGAAAGTCAAAAGGTAAGTAATCTAAAGGTTCTGATGAGATAATAACTTTCTTTTATTCTGAAAGAGTATACTGTCTTTCTGCAGAGGTCGTTCATTTCATTAATGAGAATAAAGAGGTATTAGGTTGCTACTTACATCTCTTCAGCAGTACACAGGAGACATTCTGTATTTACAGCAATGCTTTTGAAAATATGAAACATTAGGAATAATACAAGAGCTAAGCTATTTCAATCCTGAAAAATCAATTATGCTTTTTATGTTATTGTCATAAGTACCTACAGGAGGCAGGTTTGTTTTTTTTTTTCTTTTTTTTTCGGAGTCTCGCTCTGTTGCCAGGCTGGAGTGCAGTGGCACGATCTCCATTCACTGCAACCTCCACCTCTCGGGTTCAAGTGATTCTCCTACCTCAGCCTCCTGAGTAGCTGAGACTACAGGCGCACACCACCATGCCCAGCTAATTTTTGTATTTTTAGTAGAGACGGGGTTTCACCATGTTGGCCAGGATGATCTCGATCTGTTGACCTTGTGATCTGCCCGCCTCAGCCTCCCAAAGTCCTGGGATTACAGGCATGAGCCACTGTGCCCAGCCAGGAAGTAGTTTTTAAGGAAAAAAAAATAACCCACTGTTCAAATGGTACAAATAAAATAACTAACATATTTATAAACTTTCATGCAGACCTTTTCATAACCCAAAAATTGAAACAGGAAAACCTATTTAAATATTTGAATATGCTAACATTAACATGAAGAACATATAAAAATATAGAAATATTTGTATATAAAAAGTTTGAGTATAATCATATGGGTTTCAAAATATGTATTCTACTTAAGTTAGTATTACTACATCTATGATACAGGTGATAGAAAATAATGCTCAGAAAAAGTTAAATATTTTGATCATGGGCATCACTGAGCCACATAGTATTAAACCAGGATTCAACATATGCTCTTTTACTCTAAATATTGGTTTAAAAAATTCTTTCCAGCTAAAATCATTATTACAGATACTTGTAGATAGTTGAAATTAGTGTTTAGCATTATACATTACAATTAATTATATTCAGCATTTATTTTCTTAGTAATTGTACTTTCTTAACTTTTTGACTTCCAATAAAAATTTAGAGTTACTACGAGTAAAACATGTATTTCTGAGGGATGAGCTTTCTAGCCAGAGAAAACAGCATGCACAAAGGCCCTGAAGTGGGAGAACGCTTACCTAGGTTGAGAATTATCAAGGGACTCAATGTGTCTTGAATGGGGTGAGGGAGAAAGAAAATGATAGATAAGGTCAAAGATATAGTAGGAGTCCGCATCAAGAAAGACTTCCTAGACAACTATAAGGATTTTATTTTTATCCTAATTGACATGGAGCAGAAGAGCATTTGTGGGAAGGGACCTAGATGTGTTCATTTATTTAGAGGGTGGAAGTAGGTTTATAGATGGAGGGAATAAAGGGCAGGTTAGAAACCAGAACATATTAAGGTACAGATGCTTATTAAACATGCAAGTGGAGATATCTGGAAGGCAAGTGGATATAAAATCTGTAATTTAGTGGAAAGGGTTGAATGGTTGAGTTTATTTGTATAAATTTGGGATCCTCAGCACTTTGATGTTACGAAAAACCATGGTCTTGGATAAGATTTCTAGAGGGTGTACTAGTCAGGGTTCAATAGAAGAAGCAGTTTCCCTAGAAGATAAATATGGATTTGTCATAAGGATTTCAAATTATACATTTTTGGAAGCTGATTAATAAGTCATTATAAGGTAGTTATGTTCCTGCCTAACAATACAGCTTGTTGTACAGAGGGTGGGTAGTCAGAAAAGAAGCTTACAAAACGAAAGAGAGAAAGAACAAGCTAAAACCTCCATGCATGAACAATGAATAAGAACCCAATGAAGACAGACGAAAACCAGTATCAGGTCTTGTCGCCTCTGATTTTGGTGATGTGGGTGTCCTGCAGAAGCTGGAGCCCTTAGTCATGGAGTTAAAGACACACGCCTGGTCTAGGAGACAGAGACGCTGAAGGAGGTTCCTTGGAAGGTGTAGCAGTGGCAGGCCGGAAAGCTGCCACTGAAACCAACGTGTAAGCAACCAGTGTGTTTTACAAAAATGACTGTTGTTTGTTTTCCACCCTTCAATTCTCCCAAGAATCTCCTTTTTGACTCAGCCAAATTGGAAATAAACACAAAAGGGAACTCTAGGAAAGGTGGTTCAGTTTAGCCAAGTTGACACATTGCAAATTTGCTATATTGGGTGAGTATGGATGGAGAACAGATGAAGTCATAGGTCTAAATCCTGTGGCACTCAAAAATTTAGAGGTCAGGAACACGGGGGCTTCTATGAAGTGTCTTTAAAAGCAGAAGGCAAAACTCTCTTAGTCCTTTTTTCGCTGCTATAATAGCAAACCACAGACTGGTTAATTAATTAATAATAGCTTATTTGGCTCATGGTTCTGGAGGCAGGAAAGTTGAGTTTGAGAGGCCACATCTGGTGAGGGTTTTTTTTGCTGCCTCATAACATGGGGGGAGGCATCCATGGTGAGGAGGTGCACATGTTTGACAGCAAGACAGAGAAGAAAGCTGGCTGACCTCATCCTTTCATCAGGAGCCCACTCTCAAGACAATAGCATTAATCCATCATAAAGGCAGAGCCTTCAGGACCTAGTAACCTCTTAAAGGTCCCACCTTTTAATACGGTCATAATGGCAATTAAATTTCAACATGAGTATAGCAGGGGACATTCAAGCCATAGTTATACCCTTCTTTATTAATTCTTAATTATTGTTGCCCACAAAAAGGATGTGATGGCTAGAGTTTGGACTATGCGATGGAGACTACCTTTTGAAGATGGAAAAACAACTACAAGATAGAAAGTGTTCATGTCGGTAATGATCCTTACTCTGGCACACCAGCCTTGGACTTACCCCAGGACTGTGTTTACAAGAAGGAGAAGTCAAATTTGTCATATTTAAATCACTGTTGTTTGGGTTTTCTACCACCTGCAACCAAACAAAATTCTAAATGATAGAGTAGATTCAGGAGAAAATGAGAGGTGAACAAATGAAGACAGAGTATAGACAGTATTTTGAAGAAATTAACTATAAGTTGGAACCAGAAATGAATCTTTCACTGGAGGATAAGTGAGATTAGGGGGAGATTTATTTTTATGATGGGAAACTACATTTTTTCTATGCTGTTTGGGAATTATTCAATAAAGAGGAATCATTTGATTATGTGGGAAAGATATGAAGAAATTGTATACTGAATAATGGAAAAAAAATGAAAAATTCTAGAAGGAATATTTAACTAACTTGATTGCTTATTCAGAATGGGGAAATTTATACTTGAATGATTTTCATCAAATGTCAATGTTAATATCGTTATAGTTGAAAAACTGTAGGAAATAGCGCATTCTGGGAATTTAAATGAATTTCCATAAATTTTTATCCTGTCATTGGAAATAAATAATATGTCATGATTTTAATACTGTAAAGCTTACTTCATTGAAAATAACTGGCAAGGTAGACTCTTATTTAAAACTTGTATCACTCAGGAAATCTTTAACTTGATTTTCACCCTTATTTGTAAAACATATTATTGTTTCTTGCATTTTAGCCCTGCATAACTCTTATCAATTTTATTGTACAAACATGATATACTAGTTCGCTTTTCTTACTTAGTTATTAAAATTTCTTACAGTAGAGTTTTAATTGAAATTCCATTTTTATAACTTTTCTCAACAATGATTAGTGATCTACCTTGAGATCATTAAACAATGCATTGAAATTCTCCTGGAATTAATTTTAGGCATAGCTCTACATGCATACACTAATTTCTCTTTGGAAACATGATAATTTCTTAGTCCTATATAATACAAAGTGAAATTCTAGGTTGAAAATATTTTTTCTATTTAGATCTCAAGGGAAAGATGTTGTTTTATTTTGTTTTTAGTTTTTGGCAATCAAGAGGAATGAGGTTAGAGGTTACAGCAGTTTATATTTTTTGTTCATATTTTTGCATTATTTATTGCTTACTATAAACATGTGATTATACAAAGAGGACCTGCAGGAATTATATCATTGTCTCATCGTAACAGTAACAGTAAAGATGCTTTAAGTATGAGACATGATAGTTAAAAATCAGGACTGATTTAATTTAGAGTTTTCTAAATTATAAAATTTAACTGAGTTTGCTAGATTTTAATCAACACATTTTCACAAAACATATTTGTCTATCACCTTTGTTTCTGGTATATTTATGGTCATCTTTTAAACAGTCTGAGCCATTTATTAAGCAGTATTTCCTGAACAGAATTCTTACTGTTAACACTTAAAAATTTTCCCCCTTAACTAGCAAGACCCATTCTTGAAAACTAGCTATTTTCAGAACATAAAGTGTCACATTATCATTTAATAAAGCAAATTCTTATTTTTGTTTTAAGAAACAAATTGTGAGCACAAATAGGTTTGTAACTATATTTCCTTGACAACTGAAAACATGTAGTACCAGTCCTGGCCTCCACATGGTGCTAGTGTTATGCACTGGAACATGAAAAGCCAGAACTACCTAGTAATGCAAAATAACCACTTATACCGCCCATCAAAAATAAACCCAATAATAAAACAACAGATTCAAATAAAAAGGCACTGCACCTGAAATCCTTCCTTATGTAAAATCTGGCTCATATACAATAATCATCTGGTTCGTGTACAAAATGATTTGCCAAATCATTTGTATACATTATAGTAAAGCTGAATAAAAGGTGGCAAAAATAACAATTTTAGATTTCTTATTCCATCTTTGGGATCTCACCAACATCACATTCTTTTTTCCATGTATTGTCTCTTCCATGGATGGCTATTTGGAATGATGTTAAGAAGAGGCAGTACTTATGGGGTGGTGGAGGGTGGGGAGAAGAGGCTTCAAAAGCCTTCTGCCAGGTTTTCTCCATGTTCATTGTGATTCCTTTGAACTATAAAATTCACTTTCAAAGCCAAAATATAATTTATTTTGAATATTCCTATTTTCAGTCATATTCTTCACAAATTTAAAGTTAATGTATGTTTCTCTTTATTTTAATGTAAAACAGGTATATTCATTGAGTTTGTCAGTTTTATGTGATGTGTAAAATTTTACATCTCTCTGCCAATTGTCTGACAGTTGAAAATACTATAAAATATTACACAATATTAGGCCATTTTGCTCAGTTTCTTGACAACTGACTAATGGATAATTGCATTGGTTTTATCTAAATCCTTCCTCTTCTTTTGTGATGGAATATAATTGTTTTCTTCACTTTATGCTAACAATTGAAACTTCATCCTCTATCAAGAGAATCTGAACAACTAAAGAAGTGCTCCAAATAATTAACAAGAAGAGACTGTTTGGTATCTAAGTTATCTTACGCCCGTGTAGATTGCCTTGCAAATAATACAAACTCAATAAATATTTATTGAATAAATCACACAATACCAACTGGTTTGGTTATGGCATTAACAGGGGCAGTTGAAAAATAATGGAGATTACAGAGCATGTGAAAGAGGACTCAAGACTTGGAAAGAAAAGAGGAAAATTAAAAATATATTACCCTGAATTATGATTTACATTCCTCCCTCCCTTTCTTCTTTCTCCTCTTTTTTTCTGCCTCCCTCCATCCTTTTTTTTTTTTTTTTTCAGGTATACAACTCAGAAACTGCTTGTCAAACAATTAGATCACTTATTGCCAGGAAGAAAAAAAAATATGGGCAGTATTAAAGTCTAGAATAAGATTAAAGAAATCAGTGGATAACTTCTTTACTGAAGTTTATGGCATTTATTATTGGTTTCATAGTGAGTCAATTTCTTAAGTGGACAGAGTATAAAATGTTGTCTTTAGTTTAGGTACATTAGTGGTAACATTGTTTGAAAATGTTGGAATCTTTTGGACAAAATAATCTAAACATCAGTAACTATGTGTAAATGATTTATTACCCTTAAACCCTTTCTTGGAAACTTCTTTCTTCTTTTGTGACCATAACCAGAAATATCTGTCTTTCTCTCTGTGCATTTCTTTACGTATTTATCTATGTATATATATTTCCAGAAATAAGAATAACCATTATTAGCTGACAATTTTTCTTAAAACATTTCTTAGTTCCCTTAGGAATTTGTTCTTCAATAATTTTGCCTACGTTATTTAGCCATCCTGTTATTCGTGTTTGCCGAGCCTAAAAGACTAGCCAAAACCCAACAGCCTACAAGGGTCGGTATTCAATTAACTAACCAAATCACTAATATGTGTGCAGCTGGAAATCTCAGAGAGTATGTTCTGCCATCTGACACAACCTGGAATATAGGACTTTATTTGCCGAGTTCAATCACAGACACTGATTTTTGAAGCACCAACTGCTTTGAAAGGTTTTTATTTTAAAACTATATATAGTTCATTATTAACATTTATTAAAGATAGGTTCCTGCTAGTATAGTATTTGGATAACTATTATGAAGTCTTTCCTAAATCATATTCTCTTAAAAAAATTGGAATGTTTGGAACATGGACCCTGGTGTCTGGGTTTAAAATGGCGATTATGCTGCTTACTGGTGTTTCTCTTCAGGCAAGTTACTAACTAAGCAGTTAACCAACTAACTAAGTTACTGACATCTGTGTCCTACATTCTGTTTTGTGTAAGTGACAATAAAAATGGTACCTATTGCATCGAGTGATTTTCTAGGTTTAATTGGATTTTATATGAATATGCCTTGCATGCTGCCTAGCATATAGAAAACAAAAAGTTAACAGTAATCATTATTTTTATTCATTTTAAAGTGGAATCAGTTTGGAGTATAGTGCTAGATATTGAGATTAATAGTAACATATTATAACCAATTCACCACTGGTGCCACCAGTAACTCACAAATATGTATAACAAAAGACATAGAAACCCATCAATTATAACATATTATAGAAGTGTTTTTTCAGAATGTCAGATTTTTTTTTTTAATAGAATGTTAGATTTTTTAAAGCAACTGATTGGAGTTCTGTCTCTTTAAGGAATTCTCTATAACCTATAAGGAAGAGTATAGGAAAACCTCCCAGGGCCTGTATATTATAGAATTTTCAGAATTAATCATTTCATTTTGCCATGAAAAGGCATGCAAATCATGACTGCTCTTTGATTAAAGTTCATTAAAGCTTATATTGGCTCCAAATGCTTATTCTGCTTTTCTTTATTATTAAAGACCTAAAAGAAAATGAGAATAAACCTAGTATAATTTGGAAACAAAGAATTTTAAAATTTTATGAGAGCAATTTCATTAAAATTTTATGAGTCTTTTTTGCTTTTTAGAATAGCTGGTCAAAAATGGAAAAATACTAGGCCAACTTATTGGATTGTCAGCCATCCAAATGATAACATCAAAATAACATTAGCCAAACCTCTTTCAGGCGGGTGAATGATTGGTGAATGATTGGATCGTATATGGTACTAATTGATGGAATGCCATTCTCCGGGACTACGCTTAGCAGCATACAAATCAGGAGTGATGTAGTTATCTGTCCTTATCTGCCTGAATCACTGAATGTGGGAAACAGTCAATCCAGACTCTAGATCCTTTACAAATTCTGTGATATAAGGCATCTGAATAGAATGACCAATAAAAGCATTAGCAGTCCTGAACTGTAAAACCCGGAAGCAGCAATGGCGGCAGCAGCAGCAACAGCAGGTCTTATTGGTGGGACATTTGAGGTGCTCCAGACTGGAGGTCATTGGGATAGCAGGGCTAGCAGGAATAGAAGAGAGATTAGTGAAGCTGAAATGCCATAACTACCACAGAGAAGTTATGTTATCTAAGTATTTTAAGCCCTTATATATTTATAAAATTTATGTATTTCTGTGTTTAGTTATAAAAAGGGTAATTATTATTGCTATTTTGATAGTTTGGTTTTTTTTAATGCTTTTAATCATAATGTTCTTCAGATGTAGTACTGTGTAATGTTGTCCACCTATAAATAATGTATATGTCATCATTTTTGTGTAAATGTTCAACTGGAAAAGCTAAAGGCATATTCCACCCCATTCTACAAGTGGCACAGGGAATTACTTTACCTCTTACTTGGCCCTCAAGTATCCACATCTCTGCCTGTCTGTATGAATAACTTCTGCTGAAGTAAGTTTTAGTGGCACATAGAATGGAATACACCGTAATACCCCATCAGCAACTTGTTAATGCTCTAAGTTTGTCCAAAAGCATGTTCCCTGAAGCACAGTAGGTACAGTGTGTGCATTTAGTCAGGAGAGGCTACGCTCTGCTGTGGTAACAAATAAACTAAGTAGCTTAACATAACATGTTTCCTCCCATTCATACAAAGTCTCTTGTGAGTCTGAGTAACTTTCTAGGGTAGCTGTCTCCAGTGGTGATTCAGTAATGTAAGATGATTCAATTTCATCCTGCCACCATTTCAAGGTAAGTTCTCCTCTTTTGCCACAGAAAGGGCTTCAGAAAGACCAAATGATTTCTTAGGAATATTTCACTGCCTCAGCCCAGATGTGATACATATCACTTCTGCTCATATTTCCTTGGCTAGAATTAGTCAAGTGAATTCACATGACTGCCAAGGAGCTGGAAAGTATAGTCTCCCATATACCCAGGAATGAATATTGATGATACGATATTGAAGGAATATTGATAGGTACTGTCTCCCACAGTATGCAAGATAATTTTAAGTCATGTAGAAACAAACTTTTACGACTGTTTGGTTTTTGCATGTATTTGAAAAATACAAGTAGGACATGAAGCCTATGAGGTAATGGTTTCATTTTATATTAATTTAAGTTTAATTGCAGATACTATGTGTTATACTAAAAATGGTGAATGTGGTAAACAGATGCCTAATGTTTTGGTAACACTGCCCTAAAGGAACATCTGTCAAACACAAATCTTAGAACGTAAAATTTCAGGCAAACTGGGAACATGAGGTGGGGCATAGCAAGCTGTTCTTCAACAAGTACCTGAGGTTGATTCAACAGCAGATAGTATGGGATTGCCTCCTGGGAGGGCTTGTTGTAGAAGCTAGTTGATTTTCTGCTGTTGAAATTGGAGAACCAGTGATGGAACCCATCATGGGGGAGACTGCAGCTCCTGATGAGTACCCAATTTTCTTTTTTTATTTTTCTCCTTTTTCTACCAGACTGAGATTGCTCTTCATACAATGATGTAAGACTAGCAAGAATGAGAGATTTTGGAATAAAACCCTTGACCTGGCAATCAATTCCTTTCTAATTGGCATTTATCTTCTCCCCTGGTTTTCCTTGTTGTCTGATATTGTTCAAACTGCTAGCCTGGATCCTCTCAAATCAAATACAGTAACATCACCTGATATTGTTGGTAACTCCAAAGTTTTTCAGTCCACTAAAGCTCTTCCCTTACTGTTGGTGGTGAGTCAGTTGTTGTTATTGTTTTTAATTTTCTATTTCCATGTTTCCCAAGAGTATCTAGAAATGGCTCCCAAGGATTCAGATTTTGATGTTGTGATTTGTCTATAGTATTATTGATTTGTGTGTAATTATGAATAGAAGCCTCTTTTATTCTCAAAAAAAGTCTTGTTTAGATGATGAGCTATTTGATGACTCTACTTCTGAGGATTCTTCTTGTTTTATTTTATGATGTAAGTGACTAATTTGGTCCCAAAGACTCTTTATTCCATTGCTAATGCCACATAGGGGAAACTGAGACTATAGATAGTTTTCTTAACAGTCATTTTTTGGCATCATCTATATATTTTCTATAGGATAAAGATAAAGGTAAAAGGACATAAAGAGTAGTTAAAAGAAATAAGTAAGGACATTGACAACTGGCAGATAAGCCAAAGCACATTTTGAGGAATCTAAACAACCCATTATTCTGGCATTTACTTCTAAATTGCTCCAACTTAATCTGAAGGATGAGATGTAAAACCAAAGACAGATCTTGGCATTCATAACATATATTCTCTTGTCAACACTTTAGAGGTGCATATTTTGTGTACTAATGAAATGATTGTAATGTCTCACATTGTCTCAGTTCTATAGTAGAGTTAGGACAGGCACTATGCAATCTTAAGTAGAATTTCAGCTATGTGAGAGTAGCCATGAATTTGCAATAAAAGGTGTAGGCACCACATTTACTTTTCCTATAATCCTACTATTAGATAACACATATAAGAGCTGCTATTTATTTTGTCATTTGTTTCCATCCTAGAAGAAAGCAAAAGAGAATTTTGAAGGTACAATGTATCACATTTAGAGCAACCTTTAGGTCTGTAGCTCATCAGACTGGCTTTTAAAATATGCAAGCATTCCAGGTTAAAAGTCTCTAAATAACTTCATGTCATTTTACTGTTAAATAATGTTTAGAGTTTGCTATCTTTTGTAGACCTTGGAAATCTAATTATTTATAATGTCCAGTGACATTTACATTTTGCTAAATATACTCTGCTTGTACAAGAACATCTCATGATTAGAAAAATGGGTAGAGAATGCCTGGCTGTACATATGCTTCTATATAATGCAAAAATATCAGGGTGACACATGTTATCTTTTTGTTATAGTTTCGTGATTTTAAAACATAATTCTCAAAAAGTTTTTAACTATTAGCATTTAAAATACAGAATAAGAAAAAGTTATCATAGTTGAGATCAGTGTTTACCATTTAACTCTCCACTATCAAATCAAATATCTATTCAAGTTTATTGGTATCTTAACATAATACCATTCATTTCCATGCCAACAGCTCCTGAGTGTTTGGCTTAGTTTTTGAGATTGATTGAAGGTAGATTGTAAAGTTGACCTATTGTGTTAAGCTTATTTACACAAACACAGTGCCTTGGAAAATCAACTCTGGAAGTCCATAGCAGTTGAATCCTAAGGTATTGCACATCCTAAGTTTTCTAATACCTGCTTTATAGAAATCCCTTGGGTGGTGAATCTCAACTTTGCCAGTTACCTTACCTGGGGGAAATTACTTCAACATTCCTAAATTTGAAGTAAAATTTAGGAATTGCTTTAGGACAAAGGATTTGCCTTTAATTTCATTTGACCAATTTGCTTAAGTAAATAATTTATCATTTCTATCAAATTTATGAGACAGTCACAGATGAACTTTTTTTTTTCAGGCTCTTGAAACACACTTTTCTTAAAAGAGTTTAAAAATAACATCCCTAAGATATAAGCAATAGAAAAAGACTTAATTTTGAAAAAAACCTTATGGCAACAGTGAAAAACAGAATTTGGATTCTGGATGGTTACAAATAGATTATTTTCAAAAGAAGTTGGATTTATTCAACTTAGGTCAATTTATCTTGGTAAGAATTTAAAAGCGCTTTCTGATGCCACATCCTTGTCTGTCACCTATTCTTAAATAATCAGTCTATGTCATCACCCCTCCCGAACTCCCCATTTCCCCCATCAAAATGTGGACTTCTCTCCTGCTGCTGAGTAACGTGGGGCTGGTTATGACTGGGAGGGAGGATGGGAGCGAGGCACGTGGACCAGAAATACTTCCTAGAAACAGCAAGTACGCTGCTCAACCCTGCCTGAACTTTCCTGTAAACAGCCACTGACAGACTGCATCCCTGCTGGGTGGATCCTGCGACTCCTAGAGGGAATGGCACTTCTTGTTTTTAATTAGCAAGGTGAAAGGTGAATTAAAACTAGCAGTTTGGCAAGTCAGTGCAAGAGGCTGACTTCTGAGAGGCTTCCAGGAGCCCGAAGAGAGGACCTCCACGGGAGAAGGGAGTGCGTGTGCTCGGTTTTGTTTTTTTCTCTCTTTTTTTTTTTTTTTTCTGAATGAACAGCTTTGCCCAAGTGACTGAAAAATACAGCTTCTTCCTGAATCTACCGGCGTAGTTGCTGAAGAGCGCTCTAGACAGGACATGGCTCTGAAGACTCACTCTTTGGAATGTCCTCTTGCTCCCGGCTTATAAACAACTGTCCCGAGGAAAGAAAGGTTTTACATAGCCAAATACAGCCTGACAAATGGCACTTCGGAACTGTGCTTTCTGATGACAACGCGTTCGATTTCTGACAAAGCCTCTCGCACGCTGCCCCTGGAGGGAAGTCCTAAGTAAAACTCAGACCCTCCTTAAAGTGAGGAGCGAGGGCTTGGACGGTGAACACGGCAGCATGGCATCCGCGGGGCACATTATCACCTTGCTCCTGTGGGGTTACTTACTGGAGCTTTGGACAGGAGGTCATACAGCTGATACTACCCACCCCCGGTTACGCCTGTCACATAAAGGTAGGTTACCTTTCCAGATCCTTTTGTTTAAAAAAAAAAAAAAAGAAAAAGAAAAAAGAAAAAAAAAGTCGTTTAACATTAACATAGGCTTATGGTCTTCAAAGACCTTTAAAATGCACCTGAAAAATTTATTGCAAAACTGACCTAAAATTCTAAGTACCTCTGATTAATGTGTCATACTCACCTCATCTGAAAACAGTGCAAAATCACATGTCAACTTAGAGATGTTATTTTTGTCTGTAAACATTGGATTTTATCAATAAGGAGTTCACTCACTAGCCCGCGGAACACAGGAAGGGAGGAAGCAGGTTGAAAATAGCCTTGAGAGGCTGAATCCACCAAGTTAACAGTAGATATTTAAATATCAGTTTATGCATATGAGAAACAAGGATGCTGGGAAAGGGCTATAGAAATAGGGGTGCAATTTGTTCTTTTTGTTTTTGTTTTGTTTTGTTTCCATAATGGAGGTAAGAGGAGAAAATAAAAATCCCGAGGAGAAAAATGATGCCCTACCCATAACTGTCATCATCATGTAATTAAAATGATTAACAACTAATATAAATTAGTTTTCCAGTTGAATTGATTATTAGAATTTTTTCATGTGTGGCAAAGGAAAATAGTTTATGACAATGCTTGTAAAATGGCTAATATGGATTAAAGTATTAGTATTCACTAGCATTTGTAGTGTAAATTTATATTGCCTTAATGAAGATCTAACAGCAAATGTTTAAATATTTCATTCTACAATTGTCTTGTAAAGCAACATCATACTCATAAATAAATGATTAAAAGATAGATTTTGCATCAGGACCAATACAAGCCAGTCATGAATAGGTTTGGTAATTCCTCCTGTAAACAAACAAATAATAAACAAAACCATGCTCAGAGAAAGTGACTTTGCTGACTTAATATAAATTCGGAATAAATTGTCAGCAAAGAAGTATTTATTATCACTAGCCATTGACACATTGAGACAGATAGCAGATGTAATACTCAGGATTACATAAGAATCATTTTTCAATTGTGTAAGCTTTTAAATTGTCCCCCACTGTAGAAAGAACAGAAGCTTGTATTTTCTAAGTACAGGTAGAATATTTATCAGGAGAAACAAAAAGGGAGTCCTCAATTTTATGTGACACGTTTGGCCTTTTTGTCTTTTTATTGGACAATCTTCAGTAAATGTTGACTATAGAAATTTTTTCATTTTTAGAATAGTGGATGTTTTCTTAGTTTAAATAGATTTCCTATAATACTATCCAGTAGATAATATAAATTTAAGAAATCCATTGATACTAAATTGGTAAAGTGTTTAAAATATAGTGCCCAGAATTAACACTAATCTTTTAACTTGGGAAGATGTATCATGGTATGTATCAAAATGCCTATTTCTAAGAAGTTTATCATCAAAGATGTCAACATGTACAAATTTGATGTGATGGAATATGGACAAATAAAAATGCAAAAAAATATAATTGATTGTTTTTCTTATGTAGACAAGTAGATAAGCTGCCAGTTTTTGCAAGCTACAATTCTGTTATATCTAGTATTAACATTTTATACCCTATTATTGGGGTACTTGTGTTTTCATGGTTCAATATCAGTGTGTTTTCCAACAGGTCACATTTTAATATTTCATAAGAGAGTTAATAATTTGATCAAAAAATACCAAAGTTCTCTGATACAAGTAAATGTTATGCATAATACTATTATCGAGTTCATCTTTATTATGTCACTTATATTCAAAGAAATAATTGTAACTGATGTTATGAGTGGTGTCATATGGTGTGAGAGTAAAACCGCTAGTATCTATATGTACAATAGACTGAAAACTCCCACAGGATTTCCCTTAACTTTGAATTTAATGGAACCAGCTGAAAATGCACAATATGATGTTTTTATACAAAGGCAGAATAGAGAGAGTTACCTGAAAATAGAATGTTCCTACTTGTGCAATTTAGTTAGTAAAGTCAGTTAAGAGATCACACTGGAGATGCTACCTGAAGCAGCAAATGCCTACTGCACCTCAGGGGCCTCAGTGAAAAGAAGAGCATATATACTGTCAGAGGAGGGATATTCAGTCCCACCAATACAATATGAACAGCCCATTTATCTCTCTAGACTCTGGAATTCAGTGAATATTTTAGAAGTCTTCAAAAACTAGGAATAAGATATTACAGATTAATCTTTTGCTGACTTGACTAATGTCAGTAACGACAAGTGTTCAGTAGCGAGTGAATTAAGTAATTAATATTTAAATGAGTATATAATCTTTCAATATAAGAGGCACTAGGTATATGTCATATAGCATCTCTGTACCGCTGCCTGACCACTAGCAAGGAAATCCAGGAGGCTCCCTGGAGATAGCCTACTAGAATAATTCAGAAATTCTTTTCACAGTTAATGATCTAAGCTGTATGGGAGAAAGGCAGGCATTTTTCTCATATTCTTCACTTTTAAGATGAAAACACAAGCCTATTGTTTCTTCCCAAGGAGGAGGAGAAAGTTTATCATATACAGAGCGTGAGTTAAATTATATAAAAATATGTTCAGAAAAAAAATGTCCAGAGATTTGCCCTTTTCCTCTCCCCTTCATTCTCCATTACTATTTCTGGGAATGACATGTTCTTAACTAGAGCTGGAAAGGAAGGGATCATTAGGATTAAAGAGGAGAAAAGGCAGAGAGAGAGAGAGAGAGAGAGAGAGAGAGAAGGAGACAAGGTACAAGGGTAGTAAGAGGTGTGGAATATTTTCTAGTTGATTTCCTACTGCCTTGTGCCCCAATGGGGTAATATTGAATCCCTCTCTCTTCTAACTGAATATCTCACTGCACACTAATATTAAGAAAATATACTGGCTTAGGGCAAGCCTGGTGGATAAAATGATGAGATAATTACTCTTGTTGAAGCAATACATAAATCTTTTAATGTATTTTCTAGTTACAAGGTAAATTACATTAATAAGTAAAAATGTAGCAAAGATTAAAATGGCAAGATGCTGTCCTGCTTTGTAAAAATTTTCAGTCAAGATTTGAGTTGAGTTTGGCTGTATCAGGCAAATATTTAAAAGTTCATGAATAGTTATGCATTATAGCTAACTTTATCCCAGCTCAATAGGGTAATATTGGTGAGATTAATGCAAAATTTTAATATTCTTCCCCAAGGGTTTCTTTGAAAAATACTGTGGTCCTCAGGACAGAAACCAAGGAAAGAGAGAATGAAGGGAGAAAAGTCCTGGTGGATTCATCTACTTCCTTCTGTTGATATCTGTTCTCTCCTTATCTTTCACCATCCTGCACTAATGAGGTTACAGGGAAGGCAAAAATAAGCTTCTTGATAATGGAGCTCAGAGAAGAAAAAACAAATAAGCCAAGACCTATGTTGAGCAAGAAATACCGATGTACATGGAAAGCCCCAGAAATTCAATCATGGGAGCTTGGCAGACAGGGGTAGGTGTTTGAAGTCTCAATAAGCAAGAATGCAGTTGCAGAAATCAAGGAGAATTGCTGCTTAAGCATAAAATGTTCTCCTAGAATAGTTGGTGAAGAGACATTTAAATAAAGGCATGGATATGGCAGAAGAGCATTCCTAAAATATGTTAACATTATACATGTAGATTTAAACATGGAATATATACTTATGCAGATAGAACTTGTGATAGAGTGTTAATTAGTGTATCTGTATTGGGTATTATAATCAATTAAATACAGATTTATCATAGTTCAGAGAGCTCAGGATTTGAAATCAGAGGCCTCTACTCCAGCTCTGTACTCCCCACTTATAATAATGATAATTAATTGTCTGCATCTCAGTTTCCTCTATTTGAAAATAGGGGTAGTAATGGTAATTTGCCTGTACATTTTACTGGGTTTTTGAGATAATCAAGTGAAACAACAATATCTGTGAATGCACCTTATCACCTAAAAACTATTTATATTATTAATGTTTTTGCAGACTGATACAAAGTGAGAAAATTGGAAGGAAACAGGTCCTAAAGAGAAAAACCTTGAAAATGTTATGAGTTTATATTTCAACAAGTGCTAGGATAATGCTAATATAGAAGACAGGATAAAGTTGCTCTTAAATCGCATAAAACATATGATTTATCTTGATAGATTGCACTCACTCCAAATTTCATCTTCCATATCTTTGACCTCTAGTTATAATAACTCAGAAGATGATTACATTGTATGTGAATTTTCCAAGATTCATGGCCTATATATTTTTTTTTTTTGCTGTAGTGTACACATATCGATTTGTTACATGTATTCACTCTACAACACACATTTTAGAATTCATTCCATTTACAAGAAAATAATTGACAGAGAATTCTAAAAGAGCACAATGTTAAATAAATATTCTGAATGATCATTCTGGAGGCCATGGTATTTATTTTATACCCAAGGCAAATAAAACATGAGGTAGTGACTGAGCCAGTTTTTCCTGACCCAGCTCATAGCTTTGGTTCCTCATCCAATAGCCTGGTATTATCAATAGTGACATTAGTCACACATCTCTGGGTGTTAATAAATAAAAACTGGTCATAAGACATGATTCATAAGCAGAGTGATTAAATAGGACCCAGGAGGAAACACTAGCCTATGTGCCCAGAGCTTCAGGGAGAGACAGTGAGAATTAAGTGGTGGATTTATTAAGAAATAGTTTATATTATAAAAAATATCACTGGATAAGTTGTGAGAAATTACAATATGTTTTGTTGAGTCTGCTTTATATAAAATATGCTTTCTGTGGAGAGAGCCTTCCTATGAATTTTAGAGTGCTATTATTTGCATTTTTATATTTGCTACAGACAAATATTGTCCATGTATCACATCAGTGCATCTGGATATATGAAAGTCCCCAAATGTTTCTATGAATTATTAAATTCTTATCTGGATGTTGCATTTTACAGTGGGAAAACAGTTATCTTTTAGTATGGTAATAGGGTGAGGGAAGCTCAGGGTTAGGAAAAAACAGTTCATATATAAACAGTGAATTTATATATGAACTGGGTCAATTTTGGAGTGGAAAATTTATGTGTATCAAATCATTTTTTCAGCTTTACAAGGGAAGTATTCTATACATAATATATAATCAATGCCTGTTCTTTGTTAATAAATATATTCAACAGCTATGATGTCATAATGAAATATGCTTTAAAAATTATGTTGTCATATTGTTGTTTTGCTATCCAGGTCAGATTTGTCATCTAGTCAGAGCTGAGAGTATTACACAGAGAGGGCCTCTGTTTCTTTTTGGGATGAGATCACTTGGTGGCCTCAGTTCTATGACCACATAATAAAGCACCAAACCATGAAATTGGTTGTTACTGGTGAAAATTATTGCTAACAATCTGCTCAGTCAGTTTTATTTCATCAAAGACATTTAAAGGAATCATCATTGAGACTTCTTAGTGGGAGTGTGTGCAAAGATGTATTTCTTTATCTTTGTATATAAAACTCTTCTGTGGTTTAATAGAGGAATTTAGTCTGCAGGAATCCAGAAATATCACTTTGCATGCATGCATGCCCCTTCATACATAGCCATCCCAGTGTTAAAGTCTTATAATTTCAGTCTCTGAGAGTTAAAAACAAAACTAAACTAAAATTATACCATTTATAATATTTTCCAAAGGGTGCAGAATGAAGATTTAGATTATTTTCTTGGTTTTAATAGACAGGGCCATAAGTTAGTAGTTTCTAGTGTAACATATGACACTTTGTAATACTCTGTACCTTATACAAAGGATGATGGTTATTTTGATATTTTTTTTCACAGTAAAGCCTTAAATAACATTGGAGGCATAAGAGAAAACATCAGTGTTATTATTAATTCCTTAGTCTTAAGTGAGCATTATTCTTTGCACTCATGATAGGAATGATAGTGACAAGACTGGATATTTTATAGTCTGGATATTCTGGACTAGGAATGAACAGGACATGTCCATACCACATTTACACCAAGTGTTGCAGTCTCTGATATTAAGAGAACATTTTTGGTCAAAAACAGTGATGACTTCAAGAAAAGACATCTCTGCAGAATTGATATCTTTCCTTCATATGGCCCTATGGTGGCCAAGACAACTGATTACTCGAGAAGTTTTCAGCCCTAGTTCTAACACCTATTTCAGGATATTCTAACCATAGGGCTCCTTTGCCTTGGTAACCTTACCTCCACAACTGGTATGAAAAAATAAAAGAGAAATCTATTGTCATGCCTGATTTCTGGGACTTAGAAATGTGTTTCACTACCATCCTTGGTACCTAAACTCTCAGCCATCACTGTGCTATGCTCAAGGATTTAGTTTGTAGCTTTGGCATAGGAAACATAGCAGCTAGTTTAAGCCCAGGTATTAGAAAACACTCTTACATTCGAATTTCAGTGGCCTAAAACCCCCTAGACTTTGGATGAGGCATATCTAATTTGAATCTGGCTTCAGACTGCATGGCATGAGCAAGTTACTTAGGTTTTCTGAATATGCATTTTCTTATCTTTAAAGTGGTAAAACATAATTTGCAAAAATTTGAAAGGATTACATGAGATAATGCAGATTACTGTGCAGAATACTTAACCCTTAGGAAGCTTTTTATAAATTACTCAGTAAATCAGATGAGATTCAGAGAGAATTAATCTATGCTGTTCTCTTTTTTATTCTAAAAGCAATCATGAGCTAATTGTTAAATTACAACTTAAGATGAAGAGAGATCCTTAACATCAGATTTTTACTTAAAAGCAAAGATTTTCTTTAATGAACACCAGCTCTTATTAGAGTAGATAACTAGAAGGAGCAAAGAATATTGATGTCTCTCATGTTTGTAAGTTATTGTAAGAATTATTTTGTTTATACTTTAAGGAAAGTTGGAATTTTATCTGATGGCACCTTGGAGACAACAGACCAAATCCACAAAATAAACAGTACTAACAAAGGTAATTGTAGGCCCAGCTTTGTAACGCACAATAGAACTAATATTACTAAGGCCAGACCACACTGCCTAAAGTTAAACTAAACAGTGTCCTATAGGCAGCTATCAGCTCAGCATGTGTTGTTTACTTGGAAAGTGAAAGAAAGTCTCCCACTTTGCCTTCCCTTAGATGAACAGGTAAGATATCTGGTGCCATGCACAGTTCCTGACACTTAGTAGGCATTCAACAAGTGCTCATCAAGTGAGTATCTGAATAAAACAAAATGATTTAGAACTGTGTTTTTCAAAGGAAAAGATGATGGGGTGGGATAAGCAGGAATACCCATGAAACTGAGGAATCCTGGACAACTATTTATAGCCCCTTTAGCATAACATATGTTAGAGAAAAGGCTGGGGCTTTCTGTCTATTCACCTTCTTTCTCATCAGTGCTGCATTTAGTGAAACAGCTGGGACCTCCAGGCACCCTCCTGACACATCAGTTGAATTCTTTCATCTACATTCTCTCCTCCACCTTTTTCTCTACTTCCTTCCTCTTGTTTTTCTTCCTTCTCTTTCTCTTTCTCTTCTTCCTCTCCTCCTCCTCCTTCTATCTGTCTTGTGTTATCCTTGTCATTTCTGGGTTATCACTATACCCCCTCCTCCCTTTCTGTTTTTACTTAATTCTGTGTACCCCTTTGTGAGGCTGGCACCACCCCTTCTCTCTTTTTCTCTTCTTCTACTTCTCTTCCAGATAAATACTTTTGATTTCTTCCTCACCTTAAGCCAAAAGGGGAAAGAAAACATACTTTTAGTGAAAGATATGTATTCATTGGCCTTCTGTGTACCTTCAATATTTGTTTCATTTTTGTTTAACACAATAAATATAAAACATAACCTTTGAATTTTTTAGAAAAACTTTAAACTTACTAGGTATTGAAAATTGGTTGAAATCCATGATGTAGGAAATAATGAAATACTAAGTAAATAGCTTACTAGCCACCTGGACAATGTGCCCTCTTTCTCCAACCTGTTTTTCCGCTGGGAAGCTGATGCTCTCAGGCAACATGGGATTGTGGCAATTGGAGAGGAGAGGAATTAGGGCACTGCACAGGAGAGAGCAGAGCCTGCCAGCCAAGTATTCTGTAGCTAAACTGGAGTTAAATGTCAGTTAAAATATTATTGATGTAAACCTATTTCTATGCACTTTTGGTTTGTTTTCTCTGAGTTTTGAGCTTTAATTTAGGGAAACCAGAATAAAAAGGGGGTTTTATTTACAGGATAGAGTGGTGGAACAGAATCCCTAAGAATAAGTCCCAGGGGTGATTTTAGGTAGCCAGATCAACTTCAGAACCGGAAAAGAACAGCAGCAAAGAAAATGAGAATAAAAGAGGGTGAAAACAGAGGTCAGCTGAGGACACTGACTCTTTCCCTCCTGACTTGTTCTTTCCCAGGAAATGATGGGAATGGAGAGGGGCTTTAAGATACACTGTGGAAGTAAAGTCAAATAGGAAATGTACTCTCAGCATTGTGTATAGCTGTTTACTCCTCCTGATTGCTTTTTTCCTAACACTGAGTCACAAAGTTTATTATGAACTTCAGGTCCTTTCCAAGTATAGAAATGTAGGGCTCCTTTCTTCTCCTTACCAGGCTTCAGAAGTGTTTCTCCAAAACACTTCTGAAACTTGTATTAGGAGATAGTATGCTGTAGTGGAAAGGGTATAGACTTACAATTTTTGAATCTACAGTATATTTTATTTGATGCTGTCTTATTCTTGCTAAATCATCGAACTGAGGCTTCCTTTCCTCATCATTATAAAGGGACTAATGAACACTTCCTATCTCGTATGGTTTTGGTAGAAAAAAATTTAAATGTATCACAAAGATGAATGATATGGTGTTATAGTATCTTATAATACTTTCTAATTTATGTAATTGTTTTTAAATATATTTAAAGGTCCTTCAGGGCAAGGAGTAATTTTTTGTAAGACCCTTGGGGATGGAATAAATTCACTTCAAATCATTCCTAAAGGCTATAATTACCGCCTGGGCTTTGGTATCTACTGAATTGAAATGTATATATATTTAGTTGGCTTCCATATTATGGTCAAAATAACACAACTATAAAGGCTAACTTTATTTTTTAGAAGGTTCAGAGCTACTGCTAAATAATTCACCTGCAGGAAGTCTTGATTGAATTACATTGCACAGGAGATGATGTTACTATAATTTTCTTCTGCTCTGCTTCTGAGCTGGGTCAGAAAGGAGATGGAAACTGGAGTTAAATGAATGCTACACAGAGTGTGGTCCATGGACTGCAACATCAGCATTCCCTGGGAGCTGCTGAATCAGATCTACTGAATCAATAATTCTGAGGCTCAGGAATCTCTGTTTTTTTTTTTTTTTTTTTTTTTTTTTTTTGAGACGGAGTCTCGCTCTGTCGCCCAGGCTGGAGTGCAGTGGCGGGATCTCGGCTCACTGCAACCTCCGCCTCCCGGGTTCACGCCATTCTCCTGCCTCAGCCTCCCAAGTAGCTGGGACTACAGGCGCCCGCCACTACGCCCGGCTAATTTTTTGTATTTTTAGTAGAGACAGGGTTTCACCATTTTAGCCGGGATGGTCTCGATCTCCTGACCTCGTGATCCGCCCGCCTCGGCCTCCCAAAGTGCTGGGATTACAGGCGTGAGCCACCGCGCCCGGCCAGGAATCTCTGTTTTAACAAGTCCTGTGTGTGATTCTTAGTGAAGACTCAGCTATGAGAAACACTGGGCTGTGTGTGTGGAAGGATGCTACAAAAAAGCCTCAAGCTCATATTACCTTTTTCATTTATTCCTCCTTTAGCTTCATCCCCTAGGTTAAGGGTGTTGTTGAATGTCCAAATCACAGCCTTGATCTTGATAAATATACTTAGATTCATAGATATCTAACTATATTACCATTATCTGCATATTTTTGTATTAAATATAAAGTGTGCCTATTCATTGATGACAATTTAGCACATAATTTAAATATTTTTAAAGATTATTGATGGTGTAAATTGTAGCATGATGTAGCTATGATTGAGTTCTGATGAGAAAACATCTAATATGGATCGATCATGGAAAAGCATTTTATAAAATTCAAAAATTCTTCCATGTCTCAAAGAGAAGTTTTCCTGGAGAAATGAAATTAGATGTCGCTTACCACTTCATCCCCTTTGTTATACATCTTGGTCATGGCCTGTATTAATCTGCTCTGATGTTGCTATAAAGAACTGCCCAACAGTGTGATAAAATTAAGACATTCCATTAATATTGTTATGAATGACCTCATTGCTCACCATGCACGATAAAGCTGTGTTGTTTCCACACAATATACATATTAAAACACATAATTCATTTCAGAGTGCACAGGATGCTATGTTATCATAGAGAAAGGCTTTCTAAAGTTTTTTCCCTTAAATTCTTTTGGGGTAAAATCAATGGATATAGCTTTGGGAAATAGTGGATAGCTATATATAATGAGTAATTAACAAAGTTTATTGCTTTAAACACTTTAATTTTAATCACATTAATAATAGGTAAAGTGACCATGTGCATTTGTTAACTATCATAATCTTTTCAAGGGACAGAATACAACAATTTCCTCCTTGATCTTGGACACCAGCCCAGAAACCACTGTCCTACCGCCTTGTAAGGATCTCCTCTTTCTAAAATATACGTTAAATTAGCAGAATATTTTGAATGAAAAAAAAAAAAAAAAAGAACTGCCAGAGACTGGATAATTTATAAAGGAAAGAGGTTTAATTGACTCACAGTTCCACAGGGCTGAGGAGGCCTCAGGAAACTTACAATCATGGCAGAAGGGGAAGCAAACACATCCTTCCTCATATGGCAGCAGAAGAAGTGCAGAGCAAAAGGTGAAAAGCCCCTTATAAAACCATCAGATCTCCCGAGAACTCACACACTGTCAGAAGAAGAGCATGGGGGAAACTGCCTTCATAATTCATTACCTCCATCTGGTCCCACCCTTGACACATGGGGATTATTACAATTCAAGGTGAGATTTGGGTGGGGACACAGAGCCAAACCATATCATTGCCTTCAGAGAATTAAAAGAGCCTATAATTTTTAAGTAGATTTGGCTTATTATTAAATCATTTATAAGTATTTGTTCAGCTTCTTCAATGCTTTAGGTACTGAGCATCATGCTAGGATTTTAAGAATAAAAAATCCAGTTTTATAAACATAATGTGGTATACTGTTTGGAATCCTGGGATAGTAAAGGATTATTAGATAAAAACTAAGGAAATCTAAATAAAGTATGAATTTTAATTAATAATAATGTATCAATATTGGTTTATTAACTCTGATAAATGTACCATACAATGTATATTGTAAACAAGGGAAGCTAGGTATAGGTATAGGGGAACTCTCTGTACTCACCATAACTGTTCTGTAAATTTAAAACTATTTTAAAATAAGAAGTTTCACACACACACACACACACACATACACACACACACACACTCTCACACATAGCTTTTAGTCAAACCCAGTTCTCAAGAAGCTTAAGATCCAGTTGTAAAAGGAGACAGGTCGTAATAAAGTAGGGTGCTTTTTTTATATATCAAGGGATGCTATGAAAGCATGAAGTTGGGGCTGAAAAGAGACCCAAAGCTCAGTCTTGAACATGAACAGGAGGAGCTTGGGCAAGATGTTATGAACAAATTAGCTATGTCATACCTTGCCTTGCACCATCCTGCCATGTGCCCACAATCATCCCACTGCATATAATGCACTGTATTCTCCCAGAAATTAACTTAATTCCACTGGGAACATGACTCTACCACACACACTAGTATCACACGTTCTTTGTCCTTGCTAAATTTAATTTCCCCCATTTCTAAATGGCTTTGAGGAATTTTCAGATTTTTTGTATGAGAAATATGATTACTACAAATTCACAATTAGAGTCTGAAAATACTGAGGGCAGTTATATTGCATTTTATTGCTCAAATCTTAGAATCTAATAAACTTTAGGTACTGAATATACTTTATGTATTGCATTTAATATACAGAATTTAATTCTATCTATATAGATACATATCTATATCTATTCACACTAGTGTTACCAATCTTAATTCTTTTGCTGAATACCACATACAATTCCTAACAGAGATGGCAGAAAATGAAATGATAGTGTTGGGAGAGCATTGAGAATACAGGAGATATGATGAGACTATTTCTCTTCTGCCCCTTTTGCAACATATTAGGCACTAGTTTGGCTTCAACTCTTCCATTACAAAAGTTCTGAAGAGAAATCCAGGACTGCTTTAAAATTATTCAGAAAATATCTGTAAATTATTAAAAGATATAGTTTGAGGCTGTGGCAGAGGACAGTATGAATTCATCTGGGCCATTCAAATGATTATTGTCACATTTGACTCAACTTTTCTTCCCACTTGCTCCAATCATGATCTCCCAATTTCCAATTTCATTCATTTCTACAGTGACAAATTATGAAGAAACAGAGAAAAAGAATGAATACAAGAATACCATGACAAAGCAGAAAGAAAAGAAAGTCAGAACTGGGAAAGAGTGATAATTTACCCATCTTTGTTTTTTTTCAGAAAGGCCCAATTGACCAAAGCAAGATTTTTTTTTTTTTTGTCAGTCTGTCTCTGTGCAAAAGTTTTATGAATAATTTGGCCATTTGTCTTTCATTTATCATTTTAAAAGCACAGCTATTGGTAGTAACATAGTGAGAAGGAAAAGCAATGGCTATGTTTTATCATTCTACTTAGTTTATGAAAGCTATTTGACTTTCTCAACCCAGGTTATTTGAGAAAGAACTTATGAAAATTTCATTTTACTAAGATTTTACTATATCTATAAGCCAAGAAAAAATGTTTTTTCATGTACTTAATTTATCAAAATCAATTGATAATATATTTTGAAATGCTATATCCTTAAGTTTGTTTTTTTTTGGTACTATACTATAATTAATTAAATACAATGCACTTAACACAAACTGTAAACTAATGGGCATAAATAGAAATGTCATATTAAGAAGAAAGCACACATTTGTCACCATACCTTATTATTATAAAGAGTAAATAAAAATAGAAATGGGAAGCACTGGATTATTTTATTTTTAGAAACTAAAGATAATCTATAAAAAGAAGTCTATAGAAATTAGGATCACTTCTATAATCCTGAGCAAAGCAAAAATGATATATGTTTAAAGAAAGGGTTAGGAAAAATAATGGTAAGGAAAAAATAATTTCTTTTGAAAACAGCGTATTATTGATGAAACTGACATAACTTATTTTTCCTGATCCTAAGCAAAATAAATAATATAATAAAAGCAAACAGAAAATAAAGAAAGGAAAAAGTAATTTTAAGCTTGACATTGTCACAAAGCATAAGTGTTACACATATTTCTGGTCAGATGAATGGTAACCACAAATACTTTATAATTGGTTAGAATGAGTACTAGAATATTGAGCTTGCCATCAGTTTAAGGTCTGGATAAACTTGAGCTAACCATATGGTATATTCTTAGAATAACCATATCACCCATAATCAAAACGTAAATTATAAAGAGAAAGAACTTTTTTCAAAGTCAAATGTTATAATTTTAGTTGTTGGGACATTCAATTATCCAAATCATTGTTTATTTCCATTAATATGAGAAAGAAAATAATTTTTTCTTATTTTGTCCAGAAAGAAGAAAGTAGATGGAGAAGATAGGACTATAAAATACTAGAATGGCTTTAATGAGCCACCCAAAATATTGATTTTATTATTATATTGTTACAGTCATAAGAAGTTAATGTGTTTAAACTCCTGTAACACATTCATATGGTTTAATTTCCTTGTAATTCCCCAAAGCAAAATTCGCTTGTAATAATATTTAAATAACCATAATAAGAAGGAAAATATTATAGGTAAGTCAACTATACAATTAAAAAAACAATCAAAAGAATGAAATAGCATTTTGTCATTATACTGCTCAGAAGTAAGACAAAAGTTATGTACTGGGCACTGTTTTTGACAGATTTTTTTGCCAAATGTTTTTTGCTTGCTCCAAAATGTGTATGCCCAAACTGAAGTCTGATATATTTTAGGATTGCAGAAGGATTTTTCCTATCTGGAGAAAAAAAACTGAATTATCTCTAATTTAAAAATTAATAAAGTTAAACAAGAATAAAAATGAGAAAACTAAAAAACCATTACCAATGAGATAGCTTACACACTAATAAAGCAGTTATCACTCAGAAACACGTTAGATGCCTTCTATAGTACTGGTCTCAAGGGACATAAAATACAATTCAAGGATTTTATTGTATGTGGTTATGTTTAGAATATAATATTATGCGTATTAGACACTTAAGTTTTTATATTAGTCAACAAATAGTAATAGTAATATATTGTTTTAAGTTAGAAATGCCATTTGTCCTTTTAGTCAGCTAATTTATATCTATTGGATAGTTAGCAGAGTTGGTAGTGCTTCATTTTTGAATGTCTAGAATACTGTTAATGTGAGAAAACAAATACAAAATTGCCATTGGTTGTTTTGCTATGGGTGGAAAAGAATTCTTGCCAGTTAAGGAACTACTTCAGGGAGTGATCTCCCTGTGAATGGTGTGTGTAATATTGCAATTTTGTTGATGACAGCACTGCTGCTTTTCACTTCTGGGACTCCCCAGCCAAGCTCCAAGTTTCCACTCACACTGCTAGACACCCAAAATCTCCCTTTATCCTCAATGACTATTTTTTTTTTCCTCTTAACAAATAGGCCCAGCTGCTACTGCAGCCGGTTGCCCACACTCTCTCCCATACTGCTTTTGCTGAGGATGGCAGGCAGAGTAGAGAAGAACAGCTGAGATTGGCTTACTTTGGCATCTAAATAATTTTGGGTGGGTCCTTTCCTAACTTTATTATTCCATTTAATTTTATAATCTTTCCTTCTGCTGAAGTTTAAAAAAACATATAAATTATGTTTCCCTAAAATGTTTTCCTCGTCTGGCTGCGACTCTCTTATACCTGGCTGCTCAAGATAAACAAATTGGTTCCTTTTGCACATTGCTAATTTTTTTCCAATGTTAAGCACTATTTAGAAATCAAATGTGGTAGAAGCAAATTTATTGGTGTGATCTTGGACATGTTACTTAACCTTTCTCTGACTAAAGGAGGTGTATAATAAATATCACCTTCTCATTGGTTATAGTAAGGATTAAATGAAAGAGCTTTTAAATGTATTTAGAGTAGTGCCTGGCACATAGTAATTGCTAAGAAGGTGTTTGTTAGAAAGTCAGAGAGAAGAAGAAGAGGTAAAGAAGGGGGCATGGGAGAGGGAAGAGGAGAAGTAGAGAGGAGGAAGGAAAAGGAGGAAGGAATAATTGCTAAGTAGAAAAGCTAATAACTGGAATTAGGGAATTAAAATCAACCTATGGATTTAGCATTTTACGTCTTATTTCAACAACAACAACAACAAAATCGTTCATTAAAAAAAGACTATAGTTTAGGAAAATTGTATAATTTTACCCAAATTGGATAATTTTATTGAGGGTAGGAATTTTAGTGACTACTGCCCACTCTGTGAAGTCATCATGTCCATGGCTTCCAGATAGGTGGTCACATGTTTATCATTTTGAATTTGTGCATTTTCATTGAGAGAGAGATTACTGCCTGACAAGGAATTCCATTTCATTTTGTAATAGTCCAGTGAAGAGCAAGTACTTACCTACCTAATCTCAAATCATTTTCCATATTTTAGTCTTAGTTTTTTTTCTTTAATGCCAGCAGGAAGGACATAAGTCATGATGGACCTCCAAATACATAAAGATAGTATATTAGTTCATTTTCATCCTGCTGATAAACTCATACCTGAGACTGGGCAATTTACGAAAGAGGTTTATAATGTACTTACAGTTCCACATGGTTGGGGAAGCCTCACTATCATGGCGGAAGGCAAGGAGGAGCAAGTCACATCTTACATGGATGACAGCAGGCAAAGACAGAGTTTGTGCAGGGAGACTTGTTTTTAAAAGCATCAGATCTCATGAGACTTATTCACTATCACAAGAACAGCATGGGGAAGACTGCCCCCATGATTCAATTACCTCCCACTGGGTCCCTCCCACAACCCGTGGGAATTAAAGCTGAGATTTGGGTGGGGCACAACAAAGCCATATCAGATAGTTATCATGCTCTTTTGTCATAGGTGAATATTCCTCAATATCTTGACTATTCTTTCAGTATTTTGGTTATTCTCCTGTTTGCTAATGCCCCTCTTAAAATGGAGCACCAGAATTTATACTCCAGAGATGCTTGCTTTGTTTACAGAATAGTGGTGGTGCTGTTAACCAATGACTTTTTTTTTTTTTTTTGAGATGGAGTTCCACCTTTGTTGCCCAGGCTGGAGTGCAATGGTGTGCTCTCGGCTCACTGCAACCTCTGCCTCCCAGGTTCAAGCGATTCTCCTGCCTCAACCTCCTGACTAGCCAGGATTACAGGCACGTACCACCATGCCCGGCTAATTTTGTATTTTTAGTAGAGATGGGGTTTCTCCATGTTGTTCAGGCTGGTCTCGAACTCCTGACCTCAGGTGATCTGCCTGCCTCGGCCTCCCAAAGTACTGGGATTACAGGCATAAGCCACTGTGCCCGGCCAACCAGTGACTTTTATTTATTAAAGCCACCCGAGTTGACAGCAGCTTATGGGCAAATATGCCATTTTATTTGATTGCTGTCAGCCCTTCTAAGGATTTTCTCATGGACTCTGTTGAACCAACTTTTTCCTTTATTTCATGCACGTGGTTTGTTTGCTGAAGTTAAGGAAAACCCTCTTCTCTCTCCAGTCTAGAATGTAGATCATATGTGTAGTAACAGTGTGTGGTGCCCTGAAAAAGACATGCACTTTGGAGTGAGACATTCCTATATTCAAAGACTATATGGTTCTGCTATTGTGTCTTTGCTTAATTTGCTTAGCATCATTTTCCACATTTAATGTCTTCAGGAAACTGGCTAGTTAAAATGGTAAAAGTTGCATTCATTGTCGAAATTCTTATAAAGTCGTTTTGTTTTTCTTTTTAAATTTAAAATACACATTTCATGGGCTTTATCTAAAATGTCAGTATTTGGAAGGAGTTTAACATACAGTTGAAGTAAATTTTAATTAAAGTATATAAAATGTATGCTTTTCTGGCTTCCCTGGATGATGTAGACCAATAAATGTCACTGCCAGTTTTCTTTATAAATATTATAAAATTATTTACAGACTTATAGTAAATGAAAGATCAATTTCAAGGTCTGGATAAATGAGCTAAACATAACCATTTTTTAATATGAAGAAACAAAACCGTCTTTCTTCATGGCTAAAATAAACAGAAGCTTTTTAAATGTCTTAATTTTTTATTTAAAAAGAATCTGGAATGGTCACAACAGAATGGAAGAATTAAAATACCATCATAGCTGTGACTGCTTAATTTTATAACTTGAATTTGCTTGAAATCTTGTAGATTTGCCAGTCTCTCTTGTAGAAAGTCCCATGTTCTTAAAAAAAGGCACATAATTTTTCAGAATAATTTTTAATTAACTCCTTGTAAGTCAAATGGTAATCTGTAAAAAATAATTTTACAAAAGACTTTATGCGTTAAAAATATTCATAATTTCCTCAAAATTTAAAATAACCCTATATTTTTGCCAAATCTCTTTGCAGCCTCTATTTTGTTTTTGTTATAAGATTAACTTCACCAAATGCTCTTTTCCTACATTACCAGTTTATGAGCTGCTTATACTGTCTTGGAATTTTGAGTATACAGGAAGAACTATTTTAAGAAGAGTAAAACATCATCAGTATAAGGAATATCACTAATGATCATATGCACCTATCCATATTACAGTTCTTGTAGCAATAATGAATTGATAATATTTCAAAATATCACACTGTGATAAACAAGGATGTCTGATCTCAGAAGATAACACATGACAGACTCACTGCTCTACCATAAATCTACATAAATGAATTTGTGTACCCTGTCAGATATCTTTGGGATGTTTTTCCATTTGCTATCAGTATATTGCCTTCAGATGCTTTCTAGTACATCTGAATATAATATTAATCCTCTAACTTATAGACATTAATTAAAGTGATAGGGCCAAACTTTGCTATCCTATTTTATTTAATATGACAATCTCATCAATATGAGGAAATGGAGAAATAAAAGATACATTCCTTTACATTATTATAGAGATTGTCAAAGTCCATTTTTCTTTAAGAAATGAAACAATTTTTATTCCCGGGCAAGATGGCCAAATAGGAACAGCTCCCATCTGCAGCTCCCAGTGAGACGAACACAGAAGGCAAGTGATTTCTGCATTTCCAACTGAGGTGCCTGGCTCATCTCATTGGGACTGGTTAGACAGTGGGTGCAGCCCACAGAGGGTGAGCCGAAGCAGGGTGGGGTGTTGCCTCACAGGGAAGTGCAAGGGGTTGGGGAACACCCTCCCCTAGCCAAAGGAAGCCATGAGAGACTGTGCTGTGAGGGATGGAGCTCAGGCCCAGATACTATGCTTTTCCCACAGTCTTTGCAACCCACAGACCAGGAGATTCCCTCGGGTGCCTGCACTACCAGAGCCCTGGGTTTCAAGCACAAAGCTGGGTGGCTGTGTGGGCAGACAATGAGCTAGCTGCAGGAAGTTTTTTTCATACCCCAGTGGTGCCTGGAACGCCAGTGAGGCAGATCCGTTCGCTCCCCTGGAAAGGAAAGTGAAGCCAGGGAGCCAAGTAGTCTTGCTCAGTGGATCCCACCCCCACAGAGCCCAACAAGCTAAGACACACTGGCTTGAAATTCTTGCTGCCAGCACAGCAGTCTGAAGGTGACCTGGGACACTCAAGCTTGGGGGGAGGGGCGTCTGCCATTACTGAGGCTTGAGTAGGCGGTTTTCCCTTCACAGTATAAACACAGCCACCGGGAAATTCAGATAGGGCAGAGCCCATCGTAGCTCGGCAAAGCCACTGTAGCCAGACTGCCTCTCTAGATTCCTCCTCTCTGGGCAGGGCATTTCTGAAAGAAAGGCAGCAGCCCCAGGCAGGGGCTTATGGATAAAACTCCCATCTCCCTGGGACAGAGGACCTGGGGGAAGGGGTGGCTGTACTTAAACGTTCCTGCCTGCTGGCTCTGAAGAGAGCAGTGGCTCTACCAGCACAGCG
Source organism: Homo sapiens (assembly GCF_000001405.40). Taxonomy (NCBI): domain Eukaryota; kingdom Metazoa; phylum Chordata; class Mammalia; order Primates; family Hominidae; genus Homo; species Homo sapiens. Next base: position 83,629,331 of record NC_000007.14, on the reverse strand, counting down.
CTTGAGCTCTGCTAAGGGATAGACTGCCTCCTCAAGTGGGTCCCTGATCCCCAGGCCTCCTGATGGGAAGATACCTCCCAACAGGGGCCAACAGACACCTCATACGGGAGAGCTCCGGCTAGCAACTGGCAGGTGCCCCTCTCAGATGAAGCTTCCAGAGGAAGGAGCAGGCAGTAATCTTTGCTGTTTTGCAGCCTCCACTGGTGATACCCAGGCAAACAGGGTCTGGAGTGGAACTCCAGTGAACTCCAGTGAACTCCAGCAAACTCCAGCAGACCTGGAGAAGAGGAGCCTGACTGTTAGAAAGAAAACTCCCAAGCAGGAAGCAATAGCATCAACATCAACTGAAAGGATGACTACTCAAAAACTCCATCTGAAGGTCACCAACCTCAAAGACAAAAGGTAGACAAACACATGAGGATGAGGAAAAACCAGCACAAAAAAGCTGAAAATTCCAAAAACTAGAATGCCCCTTCTCCTCCAAAGGATCACAACTCCTCGCCAGCAAGGGAAGAAAAATGGATGGAGAATGAGTTTGATTAATTGACAGAAGTAGGCTTCAGAAGGTGGGTAATAACAAACTCCTCTGAGTTAAAGGAGTATGTTCTAACTCAATGCAAGGAAGCTAAGAACCTTGATAAAAGGTTACAGGAACTACTAACTAGAATAACCAGTTTAGAGAAGAACATAAATGATCTGATGGAGCTGAAAAACACAGCATGAGAACTTTGTGAAACATACACAAGTATCAATGGCCAAATCAAGCAGAAGAAAGGATATCAGAGATTGAAGATCAACTTAATTAAATAAAGCATGAAGACAAGATTAGAGAAAAAAGAAAGAAAAGAATGAAAAAAGCCTCCAAGAAACATGGGACTGTGTGTAGAAACCAAACTATGTTTCATTGGTGTACCTGAAAGTGATGGGGAGAATGCAACCAAGTTGGAAAACACACATCAGGATATTATCCAGGAGAACTTCCCCAACCTAGTAAGACAGGCCAACATTCAAATTCAGGAAATACAGATAACACCATGAAGATAACCTTGAGAAGAGCAACCCCAAGTTTTAAATGAAGGAAAAATGTTAAGGGCAGCCAGAGAGAAAGGTCAGGTTACCCACAAAGGGAAGCCCATCAGACTAACAGCAGATCTCTGCAGAAGCCCTACAAGCCAGAAGAGAGTGGAGGTCAACATTCAACATTCTTAAAGAAAAGAACTTTCAACCCAGAATTTCATATCCAGCCAAACTAAGCTTCATAAGTGAAGGAGAAATAAAACCCTTTACAGACAAGCAAATGCTGAGGGATTTTGTCACTACCAGGCCTGCCTTACAAGAGCTCCTGAAGGAAGCACTAAATATGGAAAGGAAAAACCACTACCAGCAACTGCAAAAACATATGAAAATGTAAAGACCATCAACACTATGAAGTAACCGCATCAACTAACGGGCAAAATAACCAGCTAGCATCATAACGACAGGATCAAATTCACATGTAACAATATTAACCTTAAATGCAATTTGGGTAAATGCCCCAATTAAAAGACACAGACTGGCAAATTGAATAAAGAGTCAAGACCTATCAGTGTGCTGTATTCAGGAGACCTATCTCACATACAAAGACATACATAGGCTCAAAATAAAGGGTTGTAGGAAGATTTACCAAGCAAATGGAAAGCAAAAAAAAAAAAAAAAAAAAAAAAGCAGGGGTTGCGATCTTCATCTCTGATAAAACAGCCTTTAAACCAACAAACAGAAAAAAGACAAAGAAGGGCATTACATAATGGTAAAGGGATCAATGCAACAAGAAGAGCTAACTATCCTAAATATATATGCACCTAATAGAGGAACACCCAGATTCGCTAACTATCCTAAATATATCTGCATCTAATAGAGGAGCACCCAGATTCACTAACTATCCTAAATATATATGCACCTAATAGAGGAGTTCCCAGATTCTTAAAGCAAGTTCTTAGAGACTTACAAAGAGACTTAGACTCCCACACAATAATAGTGGGAGACTTTAACACCCCACTGTCAATATTAGACAGATCAATGAGACAGAAAATTAACAAGGATATTCAGGACTTGAACTTAGCTCTGGACCAAGTGGACCTGATAGACATCTACAGAACACTCCACTCCAAATCAACAGAATATACATTCTTCTCAGCACATCACACTTATTCTAAAATTGACCACATAATTGGAAGTAAAACACTCCTCAGCAAATGCAAAAGAACACAAATTGTAACAAACGGTCTCTCAGACCACAGTGCAATCAAATTAGAACTCAGGATTAAGAAAATCACTCAAAACTGCACAACTACATGGAAACTGAACAATCTGCTCCTGAATGACTAGTGGGTAAATAACGAAATTAAGGCAGAAATAAATAAGTTCTTTGAAACCAATGAGAAGAAAGACAAAACTTACCAGAATCTTTGGGACACAGCTAAAGCAGTGTTTAGAGGGAAATTTATGGCACTAAATCCCTACAGGAGAAAGTGGGAAAGATCTAAAATTGACACCCTAACATCACAATTAAAAGACTTGGAGAAGCAAGAGCAAACAAATTCAAAAGCTAGCAGAGGACAAGAAATAACTAATTCAGAGCAGAACTGAAGAAGATAGAGATATGAAAAACTCTTCAAAAAATCAATGAATCTAAGAACTGTTTTTTTGAAAATACTAACAAAATAGATAATCTGCTAGCCAGACTAATAAAGAAGAAAAGAGAGAAGAATCAAATTGACACGATAAAAAACGATAAAGGGGATATCACTGCTGATCTTACAGAAATACAAACTATCATCAGAAAATACTATAAACACCTCTATGCAAATGAACCAGAAAATCTAGAAAAAAATGGATAAATTCCTGGACACATGCACTCTCCCAAGATTAAACCAGGAGGAAGTTGAATCCCTGAATAGATCAATAACAAATTCTGAAATTAAGGCAGTAATTAATAGCCTACCATCCAAAAAAAGCCCAGGACCAGATGGATTCACAGTTGAATTAAACAGAGGTACAAAGAGGAGCTGCTACTATTCCTTCTAAAACTATTCCAAACAATAGAAAAAGAGGGACTCCTCCCTAACTCTTTTTATGAGGCCAACATCATTCTGATAGCAAAACCTGGAAGAGACACACACACAAAAAGAAAATTTCAGTCCAATATCCCTGATGAACATTGATGTGAAAATCTTCAACAAAATTCGTCAAACCAAATCCAGCAGCACATTAAAAAGCTTATACACCACAATCAAGTCAGCTTCATCCCTGGGATGCAAGGCTGGTTCAACATATGCAAATCAATAAATGTGATCTATCGCATAAACAGAACCAATTACAACAACCACATGATTATCTCAATAGATGCAGAAAAGGCCTTTGATAAAATTCAACACCCCTTCATGCTAAAAACACTCAATAGACGAGGTATTGATGGAATGTATCTCAAAATAATAAGAGCTGTTTATGACAAACCCACAGCCAGTATCATCATGGATGGGCAAAAGCTGGAAGCATTCCCTTTGAAAATCGGCACAAGACAAAGATGACCTCTCTCCCCACTCCTATTTAACATAATATTGGAAGTTCTGGCCAGGGCAATCATGCCAGAGAAAGAAATAAAGGGTATTCAAATAGGAAGAGAGGAAGTCAGATTGTCTCTGCTTGCAGATGACATGATTGTATATTTAGAAAACCCCATCGTCTCAGCTCAAAAACTCCTTAAGCTGATAAGCAACGTCAGCAAAGTCTCAGGATACAAAATAATGTGCAAAAATCACAAACATTCCTATACACCAGTACTAGACAGAGAGCCAAATCATGAGTGATTGCTACATAGAGAATAGAATACATAGGAATACAGCTTACAAGCAATGTGAAGGACCACTTCAAGGAGAACTACAAACCACTGCTCAAGGAAATAAGAGAGGACACAAACAAATGGAAAAACATTCCATGCTCATGGATAGGAGGAATCAATATCATGATAATGGCCATACTGTGCAAATTAATTTGTAGATTCAATGCTATCCCCATCAAGGTATCATGGACTTTCTTCACAGAATTAGAAAAAGCTATTTTAAATTTGTTATGGAACCAAAAAGAGCCCATATAGCCAAGACAATCCTAAGCAAAAAGAACAAAGCTGGAGGCATCACGCTACCTGACTTCAAACTATACTGCAAGGCTACAGTAACCAAAACAGCATGGTACTGGTACCAAAACAGATATGTAGGCCAATGGAACAGAACAGAGGCCTCAGAAATAACACCACACATCTACAACCATCTGATATTTGACAAACCTGACAAAAACAAGCAATGGGGAAAGGATTCCCTATTTAATAAATGGTGTTGGGAAAACTGGCTAGCTATATGCAGAGAACTGAAACTGGATCCTTTCCTTTTACCTTATACAAAAATTAGCTCAAGATAGATTAAAGATTTAAATGTAAGACCTAAAACCATAAAAACCCTAGGCGAAAACCTAGGCAATACCATTCAGGACACAGGCATGGGCAAAGACTTCATGACTAAATCACCAAAAGCAATGGCAACAAAAGCTGAAATTGACAAATGTGAACTAATGAAACTAAAGAGCTTCTGCACAGCAAAATAAACTATCATCAGAGTGAACAGGCAACCTACATAATGGGAGAAAATTTTTGCAAACTTTCCATCTGACAAAGGGCTAACATCCAGAATCTAGAAGGAACTTAAACAAATTTGCAAGAAAATAAAAAAACAACCCCATCAAAAAGTGGGCGAAGGATGTGAACAGACATTTCTCAAAAGAAGACACTTAAGTGGCCAACAAACATAGGAAAAAAGCTTATCATCACTGATCATTAGAGAAATGCAAATAAAAACCACAATGACATACCAACTCATGCCATTAAAATGATGATCATTAAAAAGTCAGGAAACAACAGATGCTAGAGAGGATGTGGAGTAATAGGAATGCTTTTACACTGTTGGTTGGAGTGTAAATTACTTCAACCATTGTTGAAGACAGTGTGACGATTCCTCAAGGACCTACAACTAGAAATACCATTTGACCCAGTGATCTCATTACTGAGTATATACCCAAATGATTTTAAATCATTCTACTATAAAGACACATGCACATGTATGTTTATTGCAGCACTGTTCACAATAGCAAAGACTTGGAACTAACACAAATGTCCATCATGGAGAGACTGGATAAAGAAAATGTGGCACATACACACCACTGAGTATTATGAAGCCATAAAAAAGAATGAGTTCATGCCCTTTGCAGGGACATGGATGAAGCTAGAAACTATCATTCTCAGCAAACTAACACAGGAACAGAAAACCAAACATTGTATATTCTCACTCATAAGTGGGAGTTGAACAATGAGAACACATGGGCACAGGGAGGGGATCATCACACACTGGGGCCTGTTGGGGGTGGGGGGCAAGGGGAGGGATAGCCATAGGAAAAATACCTAATGTAGATGATGGGTTGATGGGTGCAGCAAACCACTATGGCACATATATACTTATGTAATAAACTGCACATTATGCACATGTAAAATAAAAAAGGAAAAAAAAGAAATGAAACAATTTTTAAATTTAATCTATCTCAGGTAAGTAAGGAATAATTGTGTTCTAAAAATATGGTAGCAAATATAATTTCTAAACCTAAATTCATGTTAAATGTGAAGTAGCATTTTTTTTTTTCAGGTAGAGATTTATAAAGCAGAAATGTTATTGCTTTTATTGACAGTTAAGAAAAATATAAATTAGAAGAAAGTACAAAAAGTGCCTAAAATCATAACGTATACTTATGAATCTCACTACAAGTTATTAATATGTTGGTGTGTAAATTTTCTTTCGGATATGTAGCAATATATTTGAACACACAGGTTATTTTTATAAGAATGGGTTCATGTTGTACATGTTGCTTATTCATCTGCTATGAAGTGCTTTTTATGCCTCGGATTAGAGATATGCTTCCTCCATTTTATCTCATCATATTCCTTTATTTGAATGTACCATAATTCATGTACCCAATTTTATTATTGCAGGCAATTTTGGTTGTTTCTAGTTTTATTTTCTTTTTATAAATTATATTGTTGTCATCATTAGTATACATATGTCTTTATGCACTTGTTTGATTATTTCCCATGTATGAATTCCTAAAATAAAATTGCCTGGCAAATGAGAAGATATTTTGGTAACCTCCTCACATAGATTTAGAATAATGTTGTTTTTCCATGTTATTCCACCATCTTCTTATCCAAGCATCACCCTGACATCAATGCACTTTAAAATGCTTATTTTTTTATTTATTTATCAACTTTTATTTTAAGTTCCAAGGTACATGTGCGGGATGTGCAGGTTTGTTATGTGGTAAATGTGTGCCATAGTGGTTTGCTGCACTGATCAACACATCACCTAAGTATTAAGCCCAGCACCCATTAGTTGTTCTTCCTGATGCCCTTCGCAACTCTTCCCCACCCTGACAGGCCCCAGTGTGTGTTGTTTTACTCTATGTATCCATGTGTTCTCATCTTTCAGTTCCCACTTATAAGTGAGAACACGCTGTGCTTGGTTTTCTGTTCCTGTGTTAGTTTGCCGAGGATAATGGCTTCCAGCTCCATCCATGTCCCTGCAAAGGACATGATCTCATTCCTTTTTACGGCTGCATAGTATTCCATGGTGTATATGTACCACATTTTCTTTATCCAGTCTATCGTTGATGGGCATTTGGGTTGATTCCATGTCTTTGCTATTGTGAATATTGCTGCAATGAACATATGTGTGCATGTATCTTTATAATAGAAGGATTTATATTCCTTTGGGTATATATCCAGTAATGGAATTGCTGGGCCAAATGGTATTTCTGGTTCTAAATCTTTGAGGAAGTGCCACACTGTGTTCCACAATGAATAAACTAATTTACATTTCCACTAACAGTGTATAAGCATTTGTTTTTCTCCACAACCTCACCAGCATCTGTTGTTTCTTGACTTTTTAATAATCACCATTCTGACGGGCAGGAGATGGTATCTCATTATGGTTTTTATTTGCATTTCTCTAATGATCAGTGATGTTGAGCTTCTCATATGTTTATTGGCTGCATGTATGTCTTCTTTTGAGAAGTGTCTATTCATGTCCTTTGCCCACTTTTAAGTGTTTTTTTTTTCTTGTAAATTTGTTTAAGTTCCTCGTCGACTGGATATTAGACCCTTGTCAGATGGCTAGATTGTAAAAATTTTCTCCCATTCTGTATGTTGTCTGTTCACTCTGATGATAGCTTCTTTTGCTGTGCAGAAGATCTTTAGTTTATTTAGATCTCATTTATCAAGATTTGCATTTGTTGCAATTGCTTTTGGTGTTTTCATCATGAATTCTTTGCCATGCATATATCCTGAATGGTATTGTTTAGATTTTCTTCTAGGGTTTTTATAGTTATGGGTTTTACATTTAAATCTTTAATCCATCTTGATTTAATCTTTGTATAACGTGTAAGGAAGGGGTCCAGTTTCAGTTTTCTGCATATGGCTAGCCAATTCTCCCAGCACCATTTATTAAACAGGGAATCCTTTCTCCATTGCTTGTTTTTGTCAGTTTGTCAAAGATCAGATCGTTGTAGGTGTTCAGTCTTATTTCTGAGTTCTCTATTCTGTTCCATCGGTCAATGTGTCTGTTTTTGTACCAGTACCATGGTGTTTTGGATACTGTAGCCTTGTAGCATTGAAGTCGGGTAGTGTGATGCCTCCAGCTTTGTTCTTTTCACTTAGGATTGTCTTGGTTTTATGGGCTCTTTTTTAGTTCCATATGATTTTTAAAATAGTTTTTTTCTAATTCTGTGAAGAATGTCAGTGGTAGTTTAATGGGAATGGCATTGAAACTACAAATTACTTTGGGCAGTATGGCCATTTTCACAATATTGATTCTTCCTATCCTTGAGCGTGGAATGTTTTTCCATTTGGTTGTGTCCTCTCTGATTTCATTGAGCACTGGCTTGTAGTTCTCCTTGAAAAAGTCCTTCACATACCTTGTTAGCTGTATTCTTAGGTATATTATTCTCTTCTTAGCAATTGTGAATGGGAGTTCATTCATGATTTGGCTCTCTGCATGCCTGTTGTTTGTGTGCAGGAATGCTAGCAAATTTTGCATATTAATTTTGTATCCTGAAACTTTGCTGAAGTTGCTTATCAGCTTAAGAAACTTTACAGCTGAGATGGTAGGATTGTCTAGATATAGAATCATGTCATCTGCAAAAAAAGACAATTTGACTTCCTCTCTTCTTATTTAAAAACCTGTTATTTCTTTATGTTCCCTGATTTCCCTGGCCAGAACTTCCAATGCTATGTTGACTAAGAGTGGTGAGAGAAGGCATTCTTGCCTTGTGCTGGTTTTCAAGGGGAATGTTTCCAGTTTTTGCCCATTCAATATGATATTGGTTGTGGGCTTATCATATGTGGCTCTTATAATTTTGAGGTATGTTACTTCAATATCTAGTTTATAGAGAATTTTTAACGTGAAGAGATGTTGAATTTTATCAAAGGCCTTTTCTGTGTCTATTGAGAAAATCATATAGTTTTTATTTTTACTTCTGTTTACGTGATGAATTACATTTGATTTGTATATGTTGAACCAACCTTGCATCCCCCTGATGAAGCCAAGTTTATCATAGTGGATAAGCTTTTTGATGGACTGCTGGATTCAGTTTGCCAGTATTTTATTGAGGATTTTTGTATCCATATTCATCAGGGATATTTGCCTGAAGTTTTCTTTTTTTGTTGTATCTCTGCCAGATTTTGGTATCAGGATGATGCTGGCTTCATAAAATGAATTAGGAAAGATTCCCTCCTTTTCAATTGTTTGGAATAGTTTCAGGAGAAATGGTACCAGCTCCTCTTTGTACGTCTGGTAGCATTCAGCTGTAAATCCATCTGGTCCTAGGCTGTTTTTGGTTGGTAGGTTAAACATGCTTACTTTCTTTAAGCTAGGTTTATTCAGATTTTTATTCTCAATATTAGGTATATGTCAGTTCTGACTTTTGATTAGTAAATACAAATCAGAAATACACCAAAGTCAGTGAACAAATTTATCTCACAAAATTATGTGTTCCTTTCATCATTTGTATTTTTTTTTAGTATGGAAGTCTGCAGAAGACCTTATTGAATATTTTAAAATCCCTCATTCCTATCACTTTATTCATTCTGAGCTATGGAGGCCATATAAAATGAGAAACTCCCTCTTTTCTCCCAGGACTTATTAAATAAAGAATAGATCATTTATTTAACTACTTTCAGTGAGCATAATTATTGATTACCTACTAAATGTCAGGATATTATTTTTAGAGGTTTTAATAAAAGAGCAAACATGGTTTTGCATCTATCTATCTATCTATCTGTCTATCTATCTATCTATCTGTCTATCTATCTATCTATCATCTATCTATCTATCTCTGTCCACAGGTACACAGGTATATATTTATATTACCCACAGTTAATGATATTATATCTTCTTTTCCAACAGTAGCACTCATTTTTTTTTCTAATTTATGTACTTTCATTTTGTCTCTCCTTTTAAAATATGTAGTGAGGGAAGGACATAGTATTATCTCAAATGTGACAAATTCAAGGCAAGTGTGATAACTCCTTCTTAGTATATCCATAGCAGGTATTATTAATAAGTTGTGTCATTTTTTTCCTTTTAAGACCAGAGATAGCATCAAGATTCTTAGTACAGGGCTTCAGTGAACACCACCAACATTTTCTTCATTTCTCTTTTTCTACTGAAAACAAATAGAATTGATGGACCATTTAAAATAACAAAAATGTGTTAATAATAGGTTGTTGTAGCTCAAGGGATCACATTTATGGTTGCTTGATACAATATAAAAGTCAATTAAGTAAACTCCAGATAAGCAACACGATGTTTTTTGTTTTTGTTTCTGGGTTTTTATATTTTGCTTTGTTCAAGTGTGTTCCAAATATTGTTAGTGGACATACTTATCCTAAAATTATTTGTATTTATCTAAAATTTTTTATTTCAATTTCTTGGCTAAGTTTGGCAAATCAAAGAATTTTTTTTCTGTATGTTAGAAAAATGGCCGGAAAATATAAAATTATAATAACTACTAAAAGTTGTTCCATAAATTTAATACATAATAAGAACAAAAATAAGCATCCAGAAGAGATTAAATGACCCGAAGTTCTGCAAGACTTGTTAAATAAGGTATTACAATGTAAAAATAAAAGAATGATTTTAACAGAAGGAGTTATAGTTTTCTAAAAGACAGTTTTCTAATATCCATCAGAATATAATGTTTTGGACCATTTTTGAGCCACTATATAAGAATGTATGATGGGTATGTTTTTCTATGTGTGTATACAGTACACATATACATGTGTGTGCATGTGTGTATGCCTGCAGTATCATATGTGATGAAAATATAAGATATTTGATAAACCATTATGTATAACAATCTCATGTTTGAGAAAATATATATGCATGCATGTGTATGAAAGATAGCCCCAATTTTATTGTATTTTATTGTATTTATCTTTGGGCAGCAGCATATGAATTATGTTCACTTTCTCTTGAATACCTAGTTGAACTGTCTTTTATATTGACATTTATAATTAGAATGCCTGTAAAGCTATTTTATTTTAACAACAGCAACAAAAATACTAGCTACTCAAATAATAGAAAAAATAAAGTCATTGAGGTAAATTTTACCAATACTTGATCAATTACTGTCCAAATGAGAATAACCTTGAGGCAACAGACTTTGTATATTCCTGTTTTATTGATAAAGCCACTCTAGTTATAATAAGCATCCTGAGGACATGGTGGCTGATACTATTAAATACAAACTCTTATAAGCTTTACCAGAATGAAGTAGTAGCTATAAAATGAAGTACTAAAATAAAAAAACTTACTTGTCACTTACACAAAGGCAACTAGCTGTATAATGAGATCAGAGAGAAGATAAAGATTCCACGGTATCTGAGAAACCTGAGTTTAAACCTCAGCTGTTCTAATTTTTCAGACCGTGTGATTTTGGGTTAATTACTTAACCTTCATCAACATCAATTTTTTCAACTACAAGTAAAACAGTAGCTACTTCATTGTTAAAACTCTGAATCATAATAGGTACTGACAATGTTCACTTTACCAGTTTCTCATTACCTTTCTTACTCTGACTTCTTTCTTCTCTGACTTCTCACCACTCCCAATGCTGGTGCCATCTCTTCTGTCATCTACCATCCCACTTTGACCATAAAAGGTAGGTGATGAGTAAAGCAAAATGCACAAAGGGCTATGTCTTATTTGTTATCTTCCTTATGGACTATAGTGTTCTTTTCTATTTATAGCAGATGATCAGTGAATGTGTATTGATAAGACAATATTTTATTTAGGAGCAATGGACAGGGCATTATTTAAATTTTAGATTGTTGGTGACATAGTCATTCGACTCCTTATTTTTAATCATGTTTTATATTGATATTACTTTTTTAATTGTTGTGAAAGAATGCTTTTTAAACACTACTTTACTTTGTCAGAATTCCAGATCAGCATCTGGCACATGAGTCGACCTTGAAAAAGCCCATCAAACAGTGATTTACAATTTCCTCCTTCATAAAATGACTTAGTTATCTATAATAATTTATTAATTAATAAATTATATTATTTATATAAAATTTATATAAAATTATATATTACTTATATAAAATTTATATAAAATTATATATTACTTATATAAAATTTATATAAAATTATATATTACTTATATAAAATTTATATAAAATTATATATTATTTATATAAAATTATATATTATTTATATAAAATTTATATAAAATTATATATTATTTATATAAAATTTATATAAAATTATTAATATAAATTAATAATTTATTCTAATAATAAATTCCAGTAAGTGAAATGGAAACCTTTCATACTCTGTGACATGATTAAGGAAAAATATTTGGTGGGGTTAGTTTCACCCCTTTATACTTAACCTTAGGGCATTTATTATCTGTCACATATGAAATAGAAATTAGTCATTCTCAGAGGAGGATTATATATAAACCTTGCAAAATGAAGATTATATAGGAACATAAAACATTAAAAAGACAAAAATAATAGAAAGAAATTTGTGGGCTACAAAACATTTTAAATTATTCCAAAATACATTTTTCACTTTGTGTTTTCTATTTAAAACAATAATTCTTAATGTATAGTTTGGTATTGTAACCAAATTGATTATTAAAAATGAAGAAAATAAAGAGCATAAATTGGAATATTTAAGCACGGTGGCTTACGCCTGTAATCCCAGCACTTTGGGAGGCCAAGGTGGGTGGATCACCTGAGTTCAGGAGTTCGAGACCAGCCTGGCCAACGTGGTGAAACCCCGTCTCTACCAAAAATACAAAAACTAGCCAGGTGTGGTGGCAGGCTCCTGTAATCCCAGCTACTCAGGAGGCTGAGGCAGGAGAATCACTTGAACTCGGGAGGTGGAGGTTGTAGTGAGAGGAGATCACGCCTTTGCACTGCAGCCTGGGCAACAAGAGCAAAACTTCGTCTCAAAAAAAAAAAAAAGAAAGAAAGAAGAAGAATGAAGAGTGTTTCTTGTCAGAGGTGGGATCTCATCTGGGCCTTCACAACTTGAATGAAGAAAAGACATGGAGGAGGAAACTGCAGGCTCAAGTAAAAAGGCAAGAATAAAGTAGAAGTTTTAGTGGAGTTTCAGGGGAAAGTTGCACTTTTGAAAAACAGCAGGGAATATCATTGAATAAGTAGACTGGAGCCAGTTTGCCCGCTATTTTTTTTTATTAGAATCTTATTAAAATGTATTAAAGCAATTTTTATGAAAAGTCAAATATAGTTCCCCTTCCTATTCTGGTAAGATGTTTCATCTCAAAGCTAGTTATCTCTAAGATGTTTGGCATTTCTGTTTGGTCTATAACACACATATACAAAAGTAGGAAATGCAAAACATTTACTTTTCTTATGCAAAATAGGACATAGCATGAATGACAATTGCCCTAGCTACCTCAAATTTTGTAATAATCCAAATATTTCTATATTGTGTACCATAATTACTACCACAGTTTGAAATGGTTTTGTAATACATATACTCTCTTTGCCAAAAGGTTAAGAGAATAGACTCACACATAATTATCAGGAGCTATTTACCCCCAACTGAACATAATTATTGAAATCACAGGAGCACAGATTTGAAAGGGACCCCAACGGGTTATCTAGCTCATGGTCTAATCTCTTCAAGGGCATACATTTAACCCACCACAATTTACCAATGTTTTTTTTTTTTCCTTTTCTTAATCAAGTTAGTCCATTTTTCTTACTTTAAGCAGGATTGTTTAAAACCTCTCCTGATGAAAAAATTCTGTGTAGTAAATAAACCCCTCTGGAGAGAGAGAGAGAGATTCCACAACAGCCCTTGGTATTTCGCTTTGGCTTGTGTTTAACAATGCTTGCTGAAAACATTTCTTCAGGATATCTAAGGTAACTCCCCCACGCTTCTTCCACTGAAGACAATGCTCTCTAGTCTTGTGTGTTTCACTTACAGCAATAGAAGTATTACTTTATCGTTGCTATAATCTGCATTTAGGTGGGAAAGTATGGGTGATAGGTGCAAATCCCTTCCAACTGTAGTAAAAAATGATGGGGCGTGTATAAAGAGTGACATTATTAATGTTATTCTTTTTGACCCCCAAAAGTTTCATGTATTTTTTAACCTATAAATCTTTCCTTAAAAATAAAAACATCTTTCTTCCCCAGCCAGCTTCTAGGGGACCCATACTCACCTATGGTTGATCACATTTTGGTAGAGCCTATTTTTTCCTCTGGGTCATAGTCCAAGCTCTTACATTTTCCCTAAATTATTCCCTTCATCATCATTATATTATTCTGTTTTCAGGGCCCTCAGTCCCACACTGTCTGCTAAGTAAGGGGTTTAAAAAAAAATCTCATATGAATTGAACGTCACCTGTAGTGTAAACTGTACAATTTGTATATTTACATTTTAGAATTATTTGGAGGAATCAAATCTCCAACTAAGGATAACAATGGTAGTCATTTCAGGTTACCTGTTGAGAGATAAGGTATAAAGTTGCCCCAGAAACCCTTTGAACAGTGCTGGACACAGAGAAAATGCCCTATTCTATTAGCTATTGTTATTAGTTATGATGAAGATTGTGTTGGTGGTGGTATTGTTTAAATATGTTAGAGCAGGAGTTGTATCTTATTTGCTGTCTTTCTCCTGGAGTATAGTGCTCTGCTCTATTTAAAGTGGATGATCAGTGAGTGTGTATTAATAACACAATATTTTATTTAAGAGCAATGGATAGGATGTTATTTAAATTTGATTGTTGGTGAACTAGTCATTCAAACTATTTATTAATCTTTTAATTCTTCCTTGGGCATTCATCATTGCACATCCCTGTCATCCTTTGGAAGTTAGCTTGACTTTTTGGCTTGTTTTGGCCAATGAAATAAAGCCAGAATTGATAAATGACATTTGTGCACAGAAACTGTGAGCTTTGAGACTGAGAGTGTAATTTGTCACATTTTCTTTTCCTGCCTCAGTAGTCATGAATGTACTTCCCAAGATGGAACTTCTGTCACCCTGGGTCCCAAGGTTGCTTGCTAAGCAGGATCTCATTTGAACACCTACTTTGGATATGTAAACTGGGTTAGAAATAAAAGTCTGTTGTTTTAAGCCACTAAGATTTTGGGGGTTTCTTTTTTATTGTGGCATAACTTGCCCTCTCTTGACTGATAACTGGCAACACACTTATTTGTGAAGAAAATATTTTTGCTACTAGACATGACTAAGCAAACTATTTTCTCTGCACACAAATAAATTATGTTCAGGTGTCACTCCACATAACTGATTGTGCCATGCCAACTTTCTCTAAAGTACATGTGGTGAAATCCTTTCCTTACAAGGAAGAAACACAGCATCTGTTATATTTGAACGGGAAAACTACTTCTGGCTGGCTGTCCATAGTGCTGAACGGGGAATAAAATCTGTCTGGCTGTTTACGTCCTGAATTTTGGCACTGAGAAAGAATGTGAAAAGCTCAATTTACCTATAATATTGTGTCCAAAATTCCTTCTTCTCCCATCTTAGGTATTAAAAAGTATGCAGTGCAATGGCTTATCTTGCAACAGGTGCAATTATTAATTACTTGAGACTTTCAGGGACAAACAGAAAATCTTCTCTCTTAGTAACATCAAGAAAGACTGAAGGGTAGAGAAAATAATTCTCACTTCCATTTTTCAACCTCACGTACTTGATGCTCCAATTAGAGACTCAGTGATATTTTTGAAATTTTATTTTCCTGCTTTTATGTATGAATATTGTTTTGTGTTTTAAGTGCTTCAAGAGATGCTACATCTTTAGAAGTCATTATTTTGTAATTTTTTGTTAAATAAATATAAGGAAATGTACATTTTTTACTCTTTAATAGGGATGACTAGGAAACTAAGACGAAATATGTAGTTTCAGTGGAAAATAAGAGAGATACATGAAAAGTATTTTATTTTAAAGAACTGCCTCAAAATGTGTTTGTATCATCCCCAAAGTGCTGTTTTAAGTTTATTATTTTTTAAATTAATTTTACTATCTTGATCTTAGGAATAAGATATGATCCAAACAATTGAAATGTGCATCAAAAATACTGACAATCTTAATTCAAAAGCTTTGTTAATCATACTAATATGAATTATTTTTAGGCCTGAAATCTGGTTTTAGATTATATTAGAGTAGGCCCATTTCTTTATGCAAATGGTAAATAGGGCTCTTTGTTAGTTCAATTTTAGATGAAATGAGTAAAGAAAGAGCACTTTCTGAAAACAGTAGTCATTTCACATTGTTTTGTGGTTTACAGTGTTCCATTAAAAACACATGACATTGTTAGGCCTATTTTAGGCAGTCATACAGTCTGATTCACAGGGAAGAATTGATAATTCCTTCCATGTTTTACTTCTGTATATTTTTAGATTTTCTTTTCTGTATGTCATTTTCTTACTGACAGGAGGATGAGGAGAAAGGCAGGATGGGTTAAATGGATTCATTAGAATACTCAAAAAGGCAGGGTCTCCATTGTTTTCGGACTATAGAGTAGTTGTGATAGGATGCTTTTTCAAATACGAATAGAAATTATTTTCATAAAATATCTACTATATCTCAATGCTTTTGTTGTACCATCTCCAATCTCCCAAATGTCTTCATATCCTTGTTCATATATCACATACAAGCTAAAAAATTTAAATTATTTAAATGTATTTAAATTTAAAGCCATGTAGCTAGCAAATGACAAAACTGAATTCAAATTCAGTGTCTGTACTGGCTGAATCATGGATATGAGTTTTGAAAGATCATTCCCACTTTATATATCAAACTCTTTTCTAATGGTATACAGGTTAGTTTTCTGAATGAAATATTAACTGTTATAAAACATATGTGTTAAAGATGAAGAGATCTTATTGGGGAATTACTATATAAACTCCAAAGCAAAGTTTCCAAAGGGCTTTTTCCCAAGGGCAAGTGTGGGCTTGTCCTAGAAATAGACATGTATATGTTTTACCCACCCCTAGTGACAGTAGAACACTCTGTTCTTTAAAATCCAGGGCTAAATTAAGCAAGGAATGTTCAAACTGGACGAACCTACAATTATCAAAATCTCCTCTTAGCATTAAGAAGGCAGTCAGGACTCAGCAGGTATTTTTATTTGCTTATTTTTCTAATCAATTGAAAACACAGTCAAATTCTGGCTGTGTGACCTTGGGTATTTTGCTACCTAAGTTTCAGTTCTTCATTTGTAAGATATACCTATTTTTTCCATAGGATTGATCTTTGGATTTATTTAAGTATCATATTTAAAGTTTCTATCACAGTGCCTGCCATAGTATGACCTTAAAATTGTATTTACTGAGAGCATGAGAGTATACATTTAGGAAAGGAATTGTATTATTACCGTTATAGATTCCAAGGATATAACAGAGAATAAAACAGACAAATTTCCTGCCCTAATTAAACTTATAGTCTGGTAGGGGAAGATATTATATATTCTATTGGTTGAGTAGTACTCTGAATATAAATAAATAATAAGTAAAACAGATTAAGAGGATTAGAGTGTTCCAGGGATTCTTTTTTACATAGGATGATCAAGGAGTCTCTGATAAGGTGATATATGTGAGTAGAGAATTACAGGAATTTGGAAACCTGGAAGGAAAGCATTGTGGACAGAGAGACTGACTGGTGCAAAGGCATTGACATTAGAATACCTTCTGTGAATTCTAACAGTGGAGGGAGCAGGGAGGACAGTGGGAGATGAAAGCAGCAAGGCAATTGGGGAGCTGATCATGTGGGCCTCTGCTGCCATGCTAAAGGTAAGACATAAGCTGTATGATGGAAAGCCATTAAAGAGTTTTGAAGTGAGGAATGACTTGGTCTGACTCTCAGACTGAAAAGGCCGGAATCCTGGCTGGCAGATGATAGATTTTATGGGCAAGGCTTGAAACAGGGAAATAAATCTGTAGGGGATTTTAATAGTTTATGTAGGACATGATGGTTGCTTGAATGAGTGATATTGATGAAGGAAGAAAGAAAAGATATTATGGATATTAAAGGTAGAACTGATGGGCTTTGCCAGTAGATTCTTGTAGGATATGGGAGGTAGAGAGGTACCAAGGATGATTCCAAGTGTTTTGGCCTGAACAGCTGGAAGATTGAAGCTGTCATTTCCTGATGGGGAAGGCTGCTGGAAAGGAGCAAGTATAAATATGAAGAGAAATGAGTGGTAGCTAGATGAGGACCTAAGGTCAAGGGGGATAATGGTTGAAGATGAGTGACCTATAGCATAATATATATCACCAATCTGGATGTGAGATATATATATATATATAATATATAAATTTATATATATAATATATAAATTTACACATATATTATATATAATATATAAATTTATATATTATACATAAATTTATATATATAATATATAAATTTAATATATAATATATAAATTTATATATAATATATATAAATATATATGGAGTGATCTGGGGTACGGAAAAATTTGATGATGCAAAAGGGGAGCTGATTTCCTTGAGTAGGTAAGAGACGGGATTTCTTAAAGCAGAGCAGTGGCTGGGCTGCCATAGAGATGCAGAGAGACAGCAGGGTGGAGGTAGCTGACACAGGTAGTTAGGAATTTGCCTAAAATTTGCCATTGAAAGCAATGGCAAATCCGCAATTACTTTTGCCCCAACCTAATAGATTTGATGGTGGTGGGGGAACTCGGAATTTCTCTTAAATATAAAGCAAGTTTCTCCACTGAAGGAGTGGAGGAAGAGAGAAGGTGTTTATCAGTTTGCTAGGTCTGCCATAACCAAGTACCACAGAGGGGTTGATTGAAACAACTGAATTTGATTTTCTCACAATTTTGGAGGCTGTAAGCCTGAGATCTAGTTACCAGCAGGGTTAGTGTCTTCTGAAGCTTCTCACCTTTGCTTGTGGATGACCTTCTCCCTGTGATTTCATTCTTCATGTGGTCTTCCCTGTCTGTGTCCCTCCCCATCTCATTTTAGCTTAATCACTTCTTTAAAGTCTCTATCTCCAAATATAGTCACATTCTGAGGTATTGGGCTTTAGGACTTCAACATATGGGTTTTATATTAATATTAAGAGGGACATACATTAGCCCCTAACAAGGTATTTAAAATTCAAGGAAAGTATCATATTTTCTAGAATGGGCTAGGAAAATGTAAAATTGCAGAGCAGCATTTAGATTAATGTAGTAGACCATTCATAGTTGTAACATTTATAATATCTATAAGATTAAAAAATTCAAGGGACAATTAAGTTTAAATTTTAATAACTATATGAATTAAATTAAATAATTCTTTTTTCTGAACATATACTCTGTATTCTAAGTAGTCCAGAAAATAAAATAGAAAATAAGAGGAATGGCTCTAGATTTACTCAGTATGCACACACATTCAAAGTATATTCATCAAGTGCTGTATATTCATTATATCAGAAATTATGCCTACAGAGGGTGAAAATTAGAAAACTAGAAAGACAGGATAGATTGGTAGAGTGAGCTTTCTACATCTTTTTCATTCTAGGAACTTCAGACTAAAATCCAGTCTGCCAATCTGTAATACATTCTTATATTCTTAATAAAGTCTTGTGCTTTATTTGTCTCAGGTATTTAAAACATTGTTTTCACAATTTCTTTGTAGTTTATCTTTAAATTGATAGATAATATTTTCCAGAAATATTTTGATTTTATTTTGCAGTTCATTGTACTGTATTTCGTTTAATTTCCTTTCCAAATAGAGGGGAGTCTCTTTGGCTTTTTAGAAATCCTATTGTCCATAATTATTCAATATACAATATTTAATTTTATAAATGTAAGGTTTAAAATACATTAGAAAATAAAGTAAGCATTCAGTACATAATTTAACTATGATTTTGAAAAATAATTTGTTTAGTTAACTTAGGATATTTGTTTCAGATAAGAAAGTGATAAACAAGTTTTATGCAAGATTGTTTTTAATGAGTTTTAAATAAACCAAGTTTTAATTTATATGAGATATAGTTGATTTGGTAAGTAAAAATCTGTTGTTTTATTGTTAAATTAATCACCGTTGATCACAATATATAGTTTAGGTAGGAGATGATGGTTGTTTGAATGAGAGTGGTATTGATTAATAGGGTAGCATAATTTTGTTAGCTACACAAAGTACAATATTGATAATTTCCTAAGGCCTAAAATATTTATTTATATTTGGAAGAGCCTATCTCAATACAATATTAAAATAAGTTAAGCAGAAATGTACCTAAAATATTCACAAAATTTAGATGCTAGCCAACTCAATCACTTTGTCTCTGAAAACATAGATTCTAAGCAAAAGTTTGAGAAAGTACATACATGTACTTTTAAACATGTGTTTAAAGTAGACAGTGTGCCTGATCCGTATCATAATTTTTTTCTAGTAAATGTAAACCTTTGTTGTTGTTAAGTAGAGTTTTTCTATTTAAATATCATCATTTTATGAAGTAGGGGACTGACATACACTGTTTCAACATAACCTTTTTTTGTACTATTGAGTATTTTTTGAACTTCATGGTTATGCTATATGATAAAATATACAGTAGAGGTTAAAACATTATTTAAAATGTTTTTAAGAGATGTGAAATGTATGTGTAGGAAATACACTTTATATAACACTATTTAAATTATCTTTCTCAATACTTAGTAATTTCTCAGAAGTTTCTCTACAATTTCTTGTTACGTAGAGATTTGTCAGATGGCTTTACTTTTACTTCTTGGCAGGACTCCCTTGAATCTTTCAAATGAATGAAATTCTATGCTGCAAGTTATACCACAGTCTACTTTTTTTCTCACATCTCTCAAACAATGAGACTTGGGATTTTACCAACTTCGAGTGTTTTAATATGCCCATAACCATGTTGGGTTATATACCAGTTGAAAATCTAATGAATTTTCCAGAAAAATACAAAACTTACATACACTAAAAATCTTGCATACGAATTCAAACAATTCATGGATCCCCAAAAGACAATCCATGAATATTTATGGAATTCAAATTATAGTGCTTCTAGACCCACAAAGAAGCCTAGTTATAACAATTTTGACTTATCATCTTGATGGAATGTAATATACAGTGAGAACAAGAGAGGGGTTGTTTATGATGAACTGAAAGCTCACCATACTAAAAGTATGAAAAATGTGAAGCTCAGAATTATATATGTACTATAAATTCAATGATATAAAATGTGCATGCTCTGGACAAAAACTTTAAAAAATCATGAAAAAAAGAAAAGTAGTTCTGAAAGAGTAGTAGGATTATGAATAAATTTTTCCTTTAAAAAATTCCTATTAAGGCTCTATTATTTTGTATTAAAAAATAATACAGTAATAGGAGAAACCTACAAAAGAGACAACTGGACAAATGCAATAATCTCTTATCTATTCTCTGAGTATCCACTCTTGCTCCCTTTCTTTTCATTCTGTTGAATGAAGCTAAAATAATCTTTTTTTTTCTTTTTTTTGAGACTGAGTCTTGCCCTGTCACCCAGGCTGAAGTGCAATGGCATGATCTTGGCTTACTGTAACCTCTGCCTCCTGGGTTCAAGTACTTCTCCTGCCTCAGCCTCCCGAGTGTCTAGGATTGACAGGTGCATGTCACCATGCCCAGCTAATTTTTTGCGTCTTTAGTAGAGACGCGGTTTCACCATGTTGGCCAGGTCTCAAACTCCTGACCTGGTGATCTGCCCGCCTTGGCTTCCCAAAGTGCTAGGATTATAGGTGGGAGCCACCACACCCAACCAGCTAAAATAATCTTTAAAAAATTCCAATCTGGTTATACCACACCTCTAATTAAAACTCCTCAATAGTTTCTAATTCCTCTCAGAATAAAAATCCTGAATGGGTCTCCAAGGCTCCTCCTCCCACTGTTTCCTCCAGTTCACCAGCCTTTCCTAGAAAAAGGCTCTCTGCCTTTATATATGACTTTATGCATTCATTCTTTTGTCTTCCTTCCTTCTCTTCTAAACCTTACTCATCCTTTACACTTCAGCTCCACATTTACTTCTTCTTTGGGGAAGCTCCTATTGATCCTTTAGCTTGATCATACTTATAGTATTCCAAATTTTTATTTTATAGCATTTTTCAAGTGAATAAATCAAGAATAAGCCAATGACCCAGTTTATATTTGTATAGAATCTTATAAATATTAAAAATATTAAGTTTTCTCTACATAGGTAAAAATGAGGATGAAGCACTGCCATACTCTGGCTAACTTAATCAATATTGGCAGCCTTCTCCCCTTATGATTAACATAGGCAAAGCAAAGCCTCTACAAGACAGTATGGCAATGAAATTACAAGAGTAAAGAACATGCTCAGTGAGTGAGTGGAGAAGAATTTTAGTTAGGCTGATAACACGACCCCTAAACCTCCAGTGATTTTCATATATTCAAAAAGAGAAAGTCAATCAAGTTGTAAAAAGAATAATTTAAACACATTATCTGTTGTCATGTGGACACAATAACTGACTGGTTGAATCTGTACTTTTTAAAAGTTATGTAAGTACAGCTTTAGGTCATTTCACACTAGGGGTTTCAAATGGACACACAAATTCGCTCAGTGGGAGCTCTTCAGCATCACCCAAATGGTTGAAATAGGAACTATTTCCAGTTGCACCAAACAGGAAGTGTTGGTACAATTATACATAGAAGCATTTGTGTGGACTTAACAGTTAAAAAATAGGAATATTTGTCATTCCCTACATTATACTTTAAGTAGCCTACATATAACAGAAAGATTGTGAAATGATAGTATTTTTAGCTTTAACATCAGATATTTTTTGGAAGCTTCACTTTAGCAAATCTCATTTTGTAATTTAATATTGGCCACAATATAATATGCAAGTAGAAAATACATACATTAGTTAAAAACAATAATTTCAAATCTGATTTTTTTTTTTAATTTTTTTTTTTTTATTATACTTTAAGTTTTAGGGTACATGTGCACATTGTGCAGGTTAGTTACATATGTATACATGTGCCATGCTGGTGTGCTGCACCCACTAACGTGTCATCTAGCATTAGGTATATCTCCCAATGCTATCCCTCCCCCCTCCCCCGACCCCACCACAGTCCCCAGAGTGTGATATTCCCCTTCCTGTGTCCATGTGATCTCATTGTTCAATTCCCACCTATGCGTGAGAATATGCGGTGTTTGGTTTTTTGTTCTTGCGATAGTTTACTGAGAATGATGGTTTCCAATTTCATCCATGTCCCTACAAAGGACATGAACTCATCATTTTTTATGGCTGCATAGTATTCCATGGTGTATATGTGCCACATTTTCTTAATCCAGTCTATCATTGTTGGACATTTGGGTTGGTTCCCAAATCTGATTTTAAAAAAATCTCATTAGATTGCCAAAAATGGGCAAGTTGCTAAAATATTAAGGCCAATGAATCAGCAATTCAATAGCTTTTTCTAGGTCACCATGACAGAAAGAACCATTAACTACTTTGTTCTCTTCCTTCTGTAAACCAAGACTTACAAAGATTTTGCAGCTTGAAATGCATCCCAGACAGCAGTCAATTTTCAATTTTGTCGTCAAGTACAGTTACCAGCAGGATGCTGAATGCTGACAAAACATGTAATGATTGCTGCTTACGGAAGGGTAATTGGGATTCTGGATTTCAAAATGTTAAAATATTTGAGATGTGGGCAAAGATCTCATGACGAAAATACCAAAAGCAATTGCAACCAAAACTAAAATTGACAAATGGAATCTAATTAAGATAAAGATCTTCTGCACAGCAAAAGAAACTACCATCAGAATGAACAGGCAACCTACAGAACGGGAGAAAAATGTTTGCAATCTAGCCACCTGAGAAAGGTCTAATATCCAGAATCTACAAGGAACTTAAACAAATTTACAAGAAAAAGACCAAACAACCCTATCAAAAGGTGGGCAAAGAATATGAACAGACACTTCTCAAAAGAAGACATTTATGGCCAGGCACAGTGGCTCACGTACCTGTAATCCCAGCACTTTGGGAGGCCAAGGAGGGTGGACCACCTGAGGTCAGGAGTTCGAGACCAGCCTAACCAACATGGTGAAACCCCAACTCTACTAAAAATACAAAAATAGCTGGGGGTGGTGGTGGGTGCCTGTAATCCCAGCTACTCAGGAGGCTGAGGCAGGATAATCGCTTGATCCTGGGAGGTGGAGTTTGCAGTGAATTGAGATCGCACCACTGTGCTCCAGCCTGGGCAACAGAGCAAGACTCCATCTCAATAAAAAAAAAAAAAGAGAGGACATTTATGCGGCCAAGAAACATGTGAATAAAAGCTCAGCATCACTGGTCATTAGGGAAATGCAAATAAAAACCACAACGAGATACCATCTCATGCCAGTCAGAATGGTGATTATTAAAAAGTCAGGAAACAATAGATACCGGCAAGTCTGTGGAGAAATAGGAATGCTTTTACACTGTGGGTGGGAATGTAAATTAGTTCATCCATTGTGGAAGACATTGTGGTGATTCCTCAAGAACCTAGAACCAGAAATACCATTTGACCCATCAATCCCATTACTGGGTATGTACCCAAAGGATTTTAAATCATTCTAGTATAAAGACACATGCACACATATGCTTATTGCAGCAGTATTTACAAGAGCAAAGACATGGAATCAACCCAAATGCCAAACAATGATAGACTGAATACAGATAATGAGATACATATACACCATGGAATCCTATGCAGCCAAAAAGAATGAGATCATGTCCTTTTCAGGGACGTGGATGAAACTGAAAGCCATCATCCTCAGCAGACAAACACAGGAACAGAAAACCAAACACCACGTGTTCTCACTCATAAGTGGGAGTTGAATAATGAGAACTCATGGACACAGGGAGGGGAACGACACACACCAGGGCCTATCAGCGGGTGGGGGGCGAGGGGAGTGAGAGCATCATTACAAATAATTAATGCATGTGGGGCTTAAAACCTAGGTGACGGGTTGATAGATGCAGCAAACCACCATGGCACACGTATACCTATGTAACAAACCTGCATGTTCTGTGCATGTATCCCTGAACTTAAAGTAAATATATATATGTGTGTGTACATATATATATGTGTGTGTGTATATATATATATGTTGGGTTATATACCAGTTGTATGTATGTGTATGTACATATATATATATACATATATATGTATATATATGTACACACACATAAATGTGTCAAAATTTTTCATTTTTAAAATTGTTAATTTTAAAATTTCAAGATATATATACATATATATATAGAGAGAGAAAACCACTTAAGTTTAAAACCAAATTCAAAAAACTGTGTCATTTCTACCTAAATTTAGTCAGAGACTTTTAACATTCAAGTACTTTTTCCAAATTATAGACAACTTGATTCAGAGCATAGACATAGAATGTAAATGGAATAAAACATCTGAAGAAAGAAGTTTCCTTTCTCTGTATATGCGTTTTACTTATTAAACTAATTTTGCTTCACTTTAAAGGGAGAGAGTAAAATTTCTCTGTCCTCCTTCAACCTATTTGCTTTGCTAATGTACTTTATTGTAACTGTTAAACAAAGAGTCTTCTTATCAATTGTTAGAAGTTTTAGCTTTCCAGAAACTGTGGTTATAGTCAAGTTCATTAAGAGAACCATGCAATTAGGGATATGAATCTCTTCATTCTCTCTACATGAAGAAATTTCTGATAGAAGATAACTTGGCAGGATAATTTCTATACAAATTTAATTTTCTATTCAGTTTCTTAGCACCTAATTTTCTTCTTATAGCCTTTAAAAAACACTCACGCATGTAAGGGGAGTAGCCAAGTCCAATGAAAAGTATGCAAATGCTTGTATAAGCACTTGTTACAAGTACTGTTGTGTTGCAATAGACTGCTCCAAAGATAGATTTGAAACAATATTTTAGAAGAATGCAAAGCTCTACAGTAGATGAAACAATATGGCTTAAAGGTTAGAATGTATTTGCTTCTGTGAAAAAGTTCTTAAGCTTTTGGTCTTTCTTCTTTACACTTTAAATAAAACTATATCTATCTCACTGCTGTTAATAGAATCAATTTGCTAAACAACTAAACTGAAACTAATACTACAGATGGAGTACTTTCTCATCTTCTTAATAAAATGTTTACAGTAGCATCTAGTTTTTTCTGAAAAGATATGTCATTTTTCTATATTTAAAGTTATGAATTATTTAAGTAGTATTAGCTTTGTTAATCATAAGAATACAAAGCTTCCTCCTCTCATCCCTTCTACCTGGTATTAATTTACAGATATTCCTATTCATAGCATAAATTTTTTCAAAAAGGACCTGTCACAAAGTTTCAGGCTTTTTTACTCTCTTTTATGTCTTGTGTTTCACCTCCCTAATATGGCCAGAAAGAACTGAAAACAATCTAATACTCATTAGATTATGTTCATGTTTATTTACATGAACTTCAGGGTTTTCTTGGGTGGTATTTGGGTGAGAGCTATTGATGTACACATTCACAGTACCTTTCTAAATGCTTTATTACTCCCAGGAGTAGAAGACTTGGACCACTGGGTTAGTGGTATATCATAAAGAAATACAATATTGGGTTGGAGTCTTATCGAAGAAACCTTATACAATATAGCTTCTTTTTCTTGGACCTACGCATAAAGCAATAAAAATTACACATTTCTGATAGGTTAAGTTTTAATCTCAATTCAATTTAACAAATATTTATTGCACACTTACTATATGCTATCTATAATATTCAAATGAGTCAAGTGTAATTTTATCTATTAAGACAATTATGATGTAAAATAATAACAATACATGTTAAAGTATGAATCACATGGGCAAATTGTATTACTACAGTATAGGATCATTACAAACAAAAGGTGATGAGAGCCATAAAAAGAAAATGAAACTAATATTTAAGAGTGCTTCTAGGCTGGGCGCGGGGGCTCACACCTGTAATCCCAGCACTTTGGGAGGCTGAGGCGGGCAGATCACAAGGTCAAGAGATGGAGACCATCCTGGCCAACATGGTGAAACCCCGTTTCTACTAAAAATACGATAATTAGCTGGGTGTGATGGCGCATGCCTGTAGTCCCAGCTACTTGGGAGGCTGAGGCAGGAGAATCACTTGAACCCAGGAGGCGGAGGTTGCAGTGAGCTGAGATCAAGCCACTGCACTCCAGCCTGGCGACAGAGGAAGACTGTCTCAAAAAAAAAAAAAGTGCTTCTAAATGCCAGGTATTTTAGACCTCTCTAGGTAAGATGAGGGCATATCTGTCTGGATAGGGGAGGGCCGTGGAGATAGGCATGCTTATGTGAAAATTTCAGGTAGAGTATCAAAAGAAGTTTGTGAAGGCAGTGGCATTCATATGCTGATGAATTATGATTTGTAATTTGTGACACTTTCAAACTGACAGAGAATATGACTTGTTTTTCTCACATTTCCTAGCTTTGTCTTATTGGTGTTATCTACTTTATTGTGACTCCCTATGATTAGACAGGGATGGAAACAAAAACTACATTACTCCTATCCTGAAACTGAATTAGGGAGACAAAATCCTCACCCATCTCATTCCCCAGGTAACCCAGAGCATACAGGAATCGTCTCCACTACTTAGAGTGACTCGTAATGGCAGTAGTAACAGAAGTAGTAGTACTAGTAGTAATGAGAGTATACAAATAAGCACAGCTGCCATTTATTGAACTCTTAGTATATGCCCAGGAATATGCTCACATTGATTACATCATTATTTGTCTTTACATCTCCCCATCAGGGTATGTTTTATGTCAAATCATTTATAAGTGAAAGAAAGTAACTTCTGCTAGATTAAACATACAGGACAAATTTATTATTAGATAAGGGGATGTTTCACGAACCAGAGATATTCAACGTAACTGGGCCTCAAGAAGGCAGAAGCATCAGGACCTGACAGTACATTAAGATCTCAGGAAGGAGACTCCCTCAGTCTCTTACCTTTGCTTTTCTCTCTATATCTGTAGCTTGATTTTCTCTATTTCTTTGTACACATGACGAGAGAAAGGTAGTCACTTTACAGCTTCAGGAGGCTAACCAACATTAATTGCTATCTCTCAAGCCCCATTCTAAAATTTCAGGAAAGAATATATGACTATAAGAGCTTGGGTCAGATATGCAAAACTGAGCCAAAAAAATTAGCTTATATATCAGATTCACTTAGAACACATACGGAGGAAGAGTGCTCAGAGAAAGAAAACTTGTGTGCATTCTCCAGTGTAAGAATGATAAAAAAAAAAAGAGTAAGTAATTTGCCCAAGTTCACCCAGCAAATAAATGGCAAAATGTGATTTAAAATGTAGATTTTTGTCTGAGTGGTTTTCATTGACTGCTACCCAAGTAGCTCTCACTGAAGTCTGTTGACTCTTGTATTAGTTTCCTACTGCTGGTAGGAAATGATCAAGTAACAAGTTGCCATAAACATAGTCTCTTTAAACATAAATTTATCTGATGGTTCTGGAGGTTAGAAGCCTTAAGTGGGTTGTTAGGTCTGTGTCCCTTCTAGAAGATCTAGGGATAATCCATTTCCTTTCCTCTAGAGGCCACTTGCTTTCCCTGGCCTGGGGCCCCTTCCTTGCACCATTCTGACCTCTGCTTTCGTCATCACATCTCTTTCCCTCCCTCGCATTCTCCTGCTCCTCTCTTAAAACAACTCTTGTGATTGCATTGGTTTCACCCAGATAATGCAGAATAAACTCCCCATCTCAAAATTCTTCATTTAATCAAGTCTTTAAGGTCTCTTTTGCCATAACATATTCATAAGTTTCTGAGATTGGGGTGTAGACATCTTTGAGGATGCCATTATTCCAAGTACCATGACTCTCTAGAGTCTAGTCTAAGTAATTGCCACTTAGTACTGCACTTTGGGATTTACATTTTAGTCTTTTTACAACATCACGTTCCACCCATTTCTTATTATTTTTATTTATCTGTGATGATGACTTTGTTTGACAAAAAGTACTATTTTTTTCTGTTTCATCTTAAAGTTTCTTGAGATTCTGCCGTGCTTATAAGAATTAATATTTCGGCCAGGCGCCGTGGCTGACACCTGTAATCCCAGCACTTTGGGAGGCCGAGGAGGGCGGATCACGAGGTCAGGAGATCCAGACCATCCTGGCTAACACGGTGAAACCCCGTCTCTACTAAAAATACAAAAAAAAAAAAAAAAAAAAAAAAAAAAAAAAAATTAGCTGGGCGTGGTGGCGGGCGCCTGTAGTCCCAGCTACTCGGGAGGTTGAGGCAGGAGAATGGCATGAACCCTGGAGGCGGAGCTTGCAGTGAGCCGAGATAGCACCATTGCACTCCAGTCTGGGTGACAGAGCGAGACTCCGCCTCAAGGAAAAAAAAAAAAAGAATTAATATTTCTTGGTCCTGATAATTCCCAGATGCTTCCTTTCTAGTGTAACTCATTCATTATTTGAGATGGACTTTGAAGCAGAGTTCTAATTTTGACAAAGATGAGAGCAAAGGAGCCATTAAATTGGAAGGATTTTTATGAACAAAGCTGCCAGAGCAATGTATACATGGAATAAGAATAGAAAAGTCTGTTATCGAGTCTGTAGGGATTATTTAATGGAAGGATGAGAGAGTAAAAGTAGATTGGGAGCCATATCATAAATTTTTTCAAACTGATCTGTGATGCATTTATGTAGTATGATTGATGGGAATATGATAATTACTCAAAATTAAGTATTTTACAAATCTGTTACTTTTAAATGTATTTTTGTGTAGAAAAGGCCCATTCAAAAATGTTTGCCATTCTTTATGTACACATGGGTTCCGCCTCTAACATTTCAAACACGGTCTTTTAAAAATAATTGTACTATTTATTGTTTTGAAACAGACACACAAACATACACGGACACCATCATCAACACATTAGCAAGACCTCATGCAAGGCTGGGTGTAAAACATGGTTGGAACACCATAGACATATACTCTTAAACAAAGGCTTGTTTATTCTGCTCATACCATTCTGTAGTTCTAATGATTTTTAATAGTATTAACTGGTTTTCTGAATGTAGTTATTTGTATGTAAAGTGTTAGGTAATAGTTATCTAATGGGAAAAATATATACTCATTTCCATTGTATTCATCTTGAGTATAACTATTCATACTTATGTTAACAAAAATAAACTTAATTTTACTGTTATTAAAAACCAGCTATGAAAGTATTTAATGGCTACAAGTCAACTTTGGAGCAAAAGCGGGTTCCTTGAATTTGAGCTCACAGTCTAAATGAACTATTTTGGCATCCATGAGATTAAAATGATCAAATTACTTCTCTCCTGTGTCTTATATTCACATAGGAAGTTTTGTACTTTTGCTTAACCACAGAATACTTTACCCCTCTAGAAGGGGAAAAGAAAGTAATTCCATAGCTAATGAAAGGGACATTGTGTTCTGTGTAACTTAATGTTTCCTCTAGATTTACTATTTTAGAAAAGGTTAGAAATGGAAAGTATTAAGCACTAGTGACTTGCAATGACATCATTCTGTATTTAATAAAATGTGTCCTTACTACTTTACCAAGGCTTTCAAAATCATAGAGCTTTATCTAATTTTATTTTTTACCTTAAAAATGAGAGTTCTTACAATTTTTATATTTGATATGCATTTTCTGAAGTATGACAAAAGATAAGTTTAAATATTTAGGCAAATTTAACTGTTTTGCCGATGAAAGTTTTCCCAGTGACTGTGTTTATAAAAAAATTCCACAATATTTACTGCTTATTCATTTATTTAACTGACATTTAATGAGTGCCACATATTTTATGTCAAAGAGGTATAAAGATATATAACATATAGATTTTGTTTTAAAGAGTAAATTTATATACACTTAGGTGTATAGCATGTAATGAGATAAGTGATGACAAAGACATATACAAATGATTCAGAAACACCAAGGGGTGTCACAATAGATTTTCTTGTGGTAAATATCTTAGTGGGGAGAAGCTTAATTGACTATGAACGTTTGGTCCCTTTAAGACAAGATTGGACTTCTCCCAGTTTCAACTCTCTCTGCAAATGCTTGCAGCAGCAAACCGCTAGCATTATTAACACAGCATGCTTCCAAAGGGAGGACTCTAGCCTGTACAATAGCATCGACTCACCATTGATATTTCAGACATAAACACTGACTTAGTTATCTATATGGGCAAGCAAAGAATAGTTGAATAAAACCCAAGGTCACTTTATAAAAGCCACTATATTCAATTCTTTATATTATTTAATTATTTCAATGCTTTTCCTCACTAACTCATTGACTAAAATTGACCGACAGAATAAAATGGCATCATTTATCATGGTGGCATTCTTAGAGTCTTTTAAAGGATCTCTAAAACAATTACATTTTGATATAATGAACATTTCACATCTGCAGAGAAATACTAGAATAATGCTAGCTCCAAGATCTTACTGCATTTAGGTTTTGGCACAGTCCTGGTGCCCATCTGTGCCATCTACCATAAGGCCTGCCACTAAAGGTAGATCTAGCTTACCCCTGCTTCAGCATTCTCAGCCCAGTGGAGCCAACTACCACAACTCTCCATATTGATGAGAATAAATCTAGTTTATGTGAGAACCTTTGGAAACCTAACTCATATATTGATATGAAGCTTTGTTACAACAGTACAAAGTTAGTTGCAATGCCTTCGAAATATTTCTCTTCCTTTTAACTTCCAGAAATGCACCACAAAGTGAACCTGATCATTTTTCTAATCTAAATTATTTCAAACTCCTTGTCTCTTATATACATTCTTGTATACCTATACATATAATATTTTAGCTAATAGGATAATTCTCTCTTTATACAAGAGTATGAAATATAAAAGTTCTATAGGAACATCAGGGGTAGTACTGTGAGTATTAGAATTGGGTTTGATGTTAGATTGCAATGACTTGGCTCCAGACTGCCTACATAGAACATTTTTGATGAATTCATATTAGTTTACCATAGCAATAACCAAGACAAGTATAGTTGTGCTATATTATTTATACACGCTGAATCTATGTTTGGACAAAGTGAATATAAGTCCAATAAAATGTAGCATCAATTGCTGACTGAAAATGAGCAAGATAATTAGAAATCTTGCTAAGGCTAAGTAGGACAACTTAATGAGTGAAAGCTGGTAATAAAGGAACTTGTGTTGAGAAAGACACAGTTAAGATAGTAAAATGGATGAATATAAAGAACCGAGTGCTAATACAGAGCATTGATTTGATTGAAGCCTTACTAGAAAGTCCACAGATACAGAAGATTACAGAATGAGTATCACTAAGGCCCTTCTTGGCTGAGACACATTTCATTTAGCAAAAATAATTATCATAAAAGAGTATCAAGATTTTTTGACATAAGGCCTGAGAACTACAATAACCAGAGACTTTCATGACCAAGAATTTGGTGGGACTTAAATCATAATTTTAAATGTCTTTGGTCTTTGTCTAGTCTGGCACACTGTGGCTATAGACTTTTTGAACCACATTGTTGGTATCAGAGGAGGTACTTATGTGGATATGTCCCTTTCCAGGAGTATAGATATGTGGGTGATATCCATAAAATAGATAGCACTGGTGGTTCTATAAGCTAAGTATTAGTGTTCTTTCTAGTAGTGTTAGGCAGTCACCGGTTCCGTTGGTCTAACTGTCAATCCACAGTTTTGATGAGACACTGTAGTCATAGATTTGAGTGTTAAATGGGCATACTGTAATTGGAACAACTCAAATGACTGATGGAAGAGGAACTGTAGGATGAAGAGTTTCCTAAAACCTTGCCCTTAGGAAGTTATTTCGGTTAGATTATTTGACCCTGGCGATATTACTTTTCTGTGCCTATGACAACTTTAATAAGCAGCTAAAAGATTTACACAGATAAATATAGGAAGGTCTAAGATGCCATCATGAGATCAGAGATCACAGGGAGAGCAAGAAAAGAGATTGGGGCTTCAATAAAAAGAGATCCTATGTCTAGTAGAATGATGAATAAGAATGGGGAACTGGGTACGGAGAGACTGGTAAGCAACATCTGCTAAGGTATTGGAAAAGCAGGTGGAGGAAGTAGGGTGGAGAGCCAGGATTCCTAGATTATTTTTATGAATTTTTCATATATGTATATGTCTGTACACACAGAACTAGCTATAAAAGCAAATATTCTGTATTCAGTTATATATTTATTATATAGTTAAACTACAACTATATGTATGAATGTGTTACTATACATACATATGTCTCCTTTCTTTAGCCACTGAGAGCCTAGGAGCAGTGACGTTAGTAATGAGCATATCCAGTGGATATCGTTCTCCGTTAAAAGAAGCCAGGGTTCCTTGGAGAAGTGGTTGAAATGGTTGATCTGGAGCAGGAAAAATATAAGATGAATCTAGAGCATTAATGTGCTCAAAAAGAAGGAAAAAGACAGAAAAGAAAAGATGGATGTCAAAAGAACATAGGGACCAACCTGAAAAACCTCACAATGGCTGAAGCTGGAACAATTTGGGCAATAAAATCAGTTATGATATTACTGGATCATAACCCAAATAATAATATAAATATCTGAGTCATACTAATATAAATAAGTAACTGAATAAAGAAGTAAATGAGAGAAGAGACAACTCTTCCTTACAGAATAATTACAATTAAAAATGTAGAAGAAATGAGGAAAATAAGAAATCCTCATTAGAATGTCACAGTACTAACTGCTGCAGGCAAGACACAAGGAAGGGTGCTAAAATTAGTGGGCAAAAGTTTAAAGATAAATGGAATATTTTCATAGTCATAAATTATTTCTCCCTAAAATATATTAATTACAAAGAAAAAAACCTTTTCAGTGGAGAAACCTGGCAGACACCACCTTAACCAAGTGATCTGGGTAACTTATCAAATCATAAACTTCCTACCGTGATGTACCGAGATGTGATTCCTCTCTGTGGTATCCTTCCCAATAATGCACTACATCAATCTAATTATGAGAAAACACCAGAGAAACCCAAACTGAGTAACATTGTACAAAATAACTGACTTGTACTTTATAAGTATCAAGATCATGAAAGGCATGGAAAGGATGAATATATACTGCAGAATAGAAGAGACTAAGAAGATATGACAACTAAATGCAATCTGGGATGCTGAATTGGATCCTGAGAAAATAAAAGGACATTAGTGGAAAAATCAGTGAAATCTGAATAAAGCCTGTAGTTTAGTTAATAACATTATGGCAGTATTAATTTCCTAGTTTTGATATGTGTATCATAGTCAAATTTTAATGTTAGGGAAAGCCAGAGGAAAGATATATGTAAACTCTGTACTGTTTCTGCAAATCTTCTGTAAATATAAACTAATCTGAAAATAAAGTAAAAAGAAATGTGTTACATAAAGAAAAAGAGAAGCCATTTTATATGTCATGGAATTGTGAAAAACGGCTGTTTAAGCATTAGTATGAGGATGCTTTTGATAGCAAGTAATAGATAAACCAATTTTTTTGTCTTAATGACTTATTTAAAAGAAGAAATCTTGAAAGTAGGCGATGCTCAATCAAGATGTCATTCAAACATGACTCTAGCTTCTTTTCACTTAGATTCTCTTTAGTTTAGCCTTCCTTCACAAGCTGCTTTACCCTCAACCTGGTGATGAGATAACTACACAATCTCCAGGTCTATCACTAATGTCCAGGGAAAGAGGCCTACTAATTTCTGTCTTTAAAAACAGGGAGCTTTTTTTTTTTTTTCCCAGAAGTTCTCTGGAAAACTCAGCCCTCCCCAAACATAACTGGAATAAATTGGGTTGGATACTCATTACTAAACAAATTGCAGATGCAAAGTGAATCATTCAGACCATTTATTTTAGTCTTGGTTTCTAAAAGCAATCACTGGCCAGCAAATTCTGGATACTATACCCACCCAAGAGCTGAGGATGGGGTGCTGAGCTATGTGGAGATGGTTTAAATATACAGACTAAAATCAGGTTCTTAGAAAGGGGAAACGGATACTAGAAAGTAATGAGCCACTATCCACTATAACATATTTTCAAAATAAAAATCATACATGTGATCTGGTACTAATAAATATTCTAATATGGGAGCAAAGACAGACTCCAAAATTCATACCCTTCCAGAAAAACCTAGGAAGGTTTGCGCTCATCCTCTCTACAGCACAGCGCTATAATTATTTTGGCAATCTGGGGGAGACCCAGTAGGTTAACTTATCAGTCCTTTAAATTCCAGCACTGATTAGTCTGATCCTTTTCCACTTGTTTCCTTCAGCATTCTTGGAAATGGTTCGTTTGTTTACATATATTTGGCATATTTCCCATCCCTAATCTGATCACCTGCACCTGGAAAATCCTGGTAATTTCATTTGAAAATTCAGGTGCCCTCTTATGGAACAAAGCGCTAAATAAACTTCCTGCCGGCTGCACAAATTTAAATTGTTCTCACGTAAGCACTTCACCTTCTTACACACTGAATGTTATATGAAAAGCAAACAAAAAAGTGTATTTTGACAGACAGCATAAAAATACTCCATGCTGTCTAGAGAAAAACAATCTGTAATTGGAATGAGTTGGCAAAGTTCTCCATATTGGCATAATTCACCATATGGAACAGCCTCAATACTAAAGATGCTGGTGATAGTATTGTAAAAAAGTACAGAGCTGGTTCATGTACCTCCAAATACAAACACTCTTTAACAAATGTGAAATGAAATATTTTTATATGTCTGGTTTGAATATAGTTTAACAATTATTATATGAAGGTAATTATAGTTATCCAAATGCCATCAAAAGAAGCCAACTTCCAGTTACACAGTACATGTTATGCTATGTATTTCCACAGTAAAATTGAAAAATATATGGATACACTGCTCTTGCACTGAGGGCCGATTGGATACATATCTGTACATCCGAACTCTCTTTTATCTCTAGACCCGGGCATCTTACTGCTTGTTGGATTTCTCCATATGGATAAACCTTGACTGCCCAAATTCAGTCTGTTTAAAATGAAATTCATCACAACAAAACCCAAACCTGTTTCTCTCTTCCATCTTTACTTTCAGTTAAGGGCACCACTGTCCTTGTGGTGGCCTCAGTCTATAAAGCCCAGGGTTTATAGAAAGAATCTCTTATTCTTTCTCACTGCTTCTCAGCCTCTACTCACAGGTACTAAGTATTCTTGATTGTATATCTAAATATTGTTTTAAGATTGTTTATTGTTTTAAATTGTAGCTATAATTATTTTTTGTTAATATTGTATCATCTATGTGCTTTACTTTCCAATCCTACAATGACTGTGTTAGAGCAGATTATGTATTTCTAGCTGATCTCAACTCCAAAACTCTTTCCCCCTCCCCAACACACACACACACACACACACACACACACACACACACACACACACACACAGAGAGAGAGAGAGAGAGAGAGAGACAGAGAGAGAGAGAAAGAGCGAAAGAGAGAGAGAGAGAGGTTTCAGAGATAATTACAAATATATAAATTTGATTTTATGATCTTGCCCCTCCCCACTTCAAATGATTTGATGCTCCACTACTAGCTAGTAACTAAAGTTTATTGTCCAGTTGTGGTGGATCCCACTTGTAATCCAAGCATTTTTGGAGGCTGAGGTGAGAGGATTGCTTAAGCCCAGGAGTTTGAGGCTGCAGTGAGCTGTAATTGTGGCACTGCACTCCAGCCTGGGCAACAGAGCAAGGCCTTGTCTAAAAGAAAAAAAATGTTTATTAAACAAAGTCTTTCATGATTGGGCCACAAACTACCTTAGCAGCCTGCTACAATGAATACCTTTTAGATCTCAGCTTAATTGATTTTATTCATGTCCTCCTTTTTAAAACACCTGCTTCTGTCATCCTCCAAGACACCTTTCTCTCCTATTTCTCTTTCCTCTGGGACCAGGCTTTACTTCAGTTGTTTTATTCACTCCTTTTATCTTAGTTTGCACCTTTATGGCAATTACTCGCAAATTTGGTACCTTCAGTTGAGACATTTTTCTACATACCAAACCAACGTATTAACTGCCTATTACTTGATATGTCCTCTTGCATAGCAAATTGAACCTATTGCTTTCTTCTCTCCATTTAATTTGTCCCTCAATACTCAATCATCAAATATTGATAATTTCAACTCCTAAATATTACTGTGGTGTTTGAAAATGTTTCAGGTCTTTTAGCTTAATCTAAGTAATGGCCATTGGTAGAGGTAGGTGGAAAAACAATTTAAACTTAGATCTGTTATTTTAAAATTACATAAACCAAAAAGACTACTAAAACACAGAATAGACTCAACAGTACTTTAAACCTGGAAATAATTTACACTTTGCAAGTACAGCAAGCAAATTATTACCACCAACATACCTATTAGCATAACTTTAAGTATATATTTATTCATTTTATCTAGCTTCAGTCCAGATTTTAGCATGAAGTATGTTTGATATTGAATAGTAATTCTCACAGCAAAAAAAGATGTCCGAATTTCATTATTTTATATGTAAATAACATTTAAAAAATAAAACCGTTACTATATGCAGTATTTCTAAAGCTTATGGTAAAGAATTTTTTCATTATACTCTCCATAAACTGTTAAAATATTCATTAATATATAAGCACCATGCTATTTTAATATACAAATACTTCTGAATATTGCTATTCTCACAATTGGAACAAAACATTACACTTATAAGGCAATGTTATGGTTGTATTTTTTGCATGACTATATATGCAAGCTAGGTTTCATGTTATAACTGGATCAAAATGCTTGATTTAAAATTATATAGAAAAATTGATGTGAATACATTTAAAAAATGCAATCCTCACTCACCCTGTCTCATTTGCTATATTCCAGTTGTTGTATCAAGTAGAGCTCTAGATTTGTTTCTTAGGGCAAGTGGCATAAGAAGTCTACACTTATTTGATGATTTTCAAAAACCCTTGAAATGCAAAGATATTTATTTTTGTACTTTTTGCAAAAGTTTTATGTGTTTATTTTGTTCAAACCTTGTGAGATTGCCCATCTGTGAATATTTTGCCTACAAAAAATGGCAGTTTTATATGGTTCTTATATAATTTTCTCCTATTCTATTAAATTTACAAAAACTATTTTCTTAATTTATATGTGTAAAAACCATAAAATAGATAGAAATGTTCAAAGAACATTTGAATTCAGCTTTACCAAATTGTAGCTAAAATTATTTTTTGTTAATATTGTATCATCTATGGTAAATATATTTATTTATTCATAAATATAATAAATTTTATGTTACCTTTTATTCAAACTTGGAGTTGGAACGCTGGAAAAACTCATTAAGCAATGTACAGAATGTAGCATTTTAACAGTAACAAAATTACCATACTATAAAAATAATTTTAATTTGTTACTGGCAGCAGGTCCCATGATATCCTATAATCCAATAAAGATTTGCATGCACTCAAAATACTTTAAAAATAAATAATTCTGAGAGTGTGTTTATATTTTGCTTATCTAAATTTTGTAAATTGTATTTCTATCGGCAGTAAAACTAAACATTTACTTATCTATTCCTTAAAGAATTCCTCTTGTTTTTTTTTTTTTTTTGCAAATAACTCTAAGATAAAGTTTATAATGTATGGATAACATTAAGAAATAAATTAACAGAAAATTAAAACTTCCTGCTCAAGAACAAGTAGCTTAAAATTTCATTTTACTAATGGAAATAATTCCTATTTCATTTTTACTAAAGTATATGAAACATTTTCCTTCATGTTTTGTGTCAGTTAAGATGCTTTAAACTTCAAGTAACACAGAAATCACAGCTAACAATGAGTTAACATATGGGAAGGTTATTATAATCTCACATTCTAGTAAAGCAGCAGTTTTGCGATCATATTAAAGATCCAGGCACTGTCCATGATTTCACCCTCTGATTCTCTGTATGTTAACTTGTACTCTTAGGCTGAAACCTTTCAGAAGCCCAATATGTCTACAGGCATCATAGCTAGACAGCAAGGTCCAGAAGAAATGGAAGACTGTTTCTTTCCATGCAGCTAAGTTTTTTGAACAAGAAAATCCCTTCCCCTTATCCCTCATTTTAATTGGGCAGAATTACATCACATATGTCCAGCAAATCAGTCATGGGCTAGGAAATGGAATTACCTAATTTGCTTTAAATGATCAATATTCTACTTTTTAGTGCTTCTCTGTACACCTAACAATGGTGAGCGTGAACACTCAGACAAAATAGGGGTTCTGTCATCAAGAAAGGACAGGGCAATGCCTTGCTTTAGGCAACCTAATATTTCCAATAGTCATCAAATATATTTACGCTCCAGATTTTGCCAGTGAATCTATGCATTTTTGTTTAGGTGAAGAAAACCTACATTAAATGTTGTAAATAAATCTGGGTTTTTAATACCCTTTTCTAAATATCTCTGATATAGAAAGTTGCCTAGAATGATACACAGTAAATCTAAAGTTAACTCTAGAAAACAGAATAGGGACTATGAAGGGAGAGCACTTTCACTTTTTAATTCATGTTTCTAGGTGTTTGACATTTTACAGTGAAAATGTGTTACTAATCTTGTATCTTAAGAACAAAAGAAAATTGTTTTTCCTAGCAATGTAGTATACAACAAAAATGATTACAGTAAAAAGAAATACAATTTCTGCAATCCAAAAAAGAAGAACAAAGCATATAATTTCAGATAGTATGCTATGATATATTGATCTGAGGAAGCCATTTCTCAAGGTGTGAGAAGTCTATCCCTGGACAGGGTATACAGAAATTTGATACTTAATAAAAGCATTAAGGTTTTTAGACCAAGCATG
Source organism: Homo sapiens (assembly GCF_000001405.40). Classification (NCBI taxonomy): domain Eukaryota; kingdom Metazoa; phylum Chordata; class Mammalia; order Primates; family Hominidae; genus Homo; species Homo sapiens. The sequence goes on along the minus strand of NC_000007.14, from coordinate 83,589,876 downwards.
CATTGTTGAGCCACTTTGAAACCAGGTATTTCTGGATCATTCATATTTGAATGATCCAATACAATAACTACTAGCCACATGTGGCTATTGGGCACTTGAAGTGTAACTTTAGTCAAAGTGAGATGTGCCATAGAGTGTAAAATACATACTCCATTTCAATAAATAAAAATATCTTATTAATAAGTTTTGATATTAGTTACATATTGAAATAATATTTTGGATATATTGGGTTAAAATATATTTAAAATAATTTTCATCTGATTCTTATTTATTTATTGTTAATGTTGCTCACAAACGATGTAAAGTTTTATATGTGGTTTAAATCTGTGATTCACATTCTATGTCTACTTTATGGCTCAGGCCTAGATGTCTCGTGAGTGGGGAAGGTTAGATTGCAGTCTCCATAAGCGCTGAGCAACCCCATGTGAAAATCAGTGACTGGATGTGCTTGGTTTGAAGTTATATCTATGAAACTCAAATCTTTAAGTCTCTCAGGAATAAGATTAATTTTTAATCTCATAGATAATTATACTCTGGATAGATATCTGGATAAATAATAATCTCAGGTAGGAAAGAAACTCACTCTGAAGAAACAAGAGAGGAGTGTAAAAAAAAGGAATAATTATTTGTCAGAAATCTGAAGAAAGAAAGTGTTGAGAGTAGCAGGAAACCCTGCCAATCTGATTACCTTCTGGCCTAGCCATTATAATAAAGATGGAGTCAAATTATAATTAACTTAAGAAAATGATAATTGGCTGAGCCAATGAAGTACTCAGAGCTGAGGCGGCGCTTGATGCTAATCTAATAGTTAATTGAACACAGATGTGAAGGAGAGCTCTCCTTTCCAATTCCTGCGCTTCAGCTTAGTGAGCAGTCCAGATGAGGGAAGTGACAACATCACCTCCTTAGGAAGTTTCAAAAGATGTCACCACAGAGACTCAAGAGCTTTTCAGCCTTTCTTGGGGGCATCTAAGGAGCAGCATGCTATAGCTGAAAGATCCCCCAGGAGCTTCAAGAAGTAGCCCTAGGGATTTGGGGATGAGGTTTTCAGATTATACAGTTGCGCTCTGGGTAAGCTTTTGTGTTTTCTTGCTTTTTATTGTTATGACTCATTTACTTTTCATGCTACTGTGATTCAAGGTAAATATGTACTACAATTTAAAACATTTAGGATCAAAATTAAATCATTTTAAGGTGAGTAGGATAGAGGAAAAAGGTTCAAACACTTAAATTTTAAGCTATTTGGAAATGCATCTATAGTAATGAGTGACTTCTGTGATGTGCTTTACTACTTTGAAGTATTAACAGATGGCATTGCTTTAATATTCTAATTATACACTGGAGATTCTTCACATTAACTGGGTATTCCCTCTTTCTCTGACCAAGCCATGCTTAGATCACTCAGTACTGCTTTAGAATGCCAGTTCTTAATGTTCACCTGCCCAGGTTTTCAACTACAGAGATTTTTACAATTCTTCTTCTTCTTCTTTTTTTTTTTAGACAGAGTCTTGCTCTGCCACCAGGCTGGAGTGCAGTGGCACGGTCTCAGCTCATTGCAAACTCCGTCTCTGGGATTCATGCAATTATCCTGCCTCAGCCTCCGAGTAGCTGGGATTACAGGTGCCCGCCACCATGCCCAGCTAATTTTTGTATTTTTAGTGCAGACAGGGTTTCACCATGTTGGCAAGGATGGTCTCAATCTCCTGACCTCATGATCCGCCTGCCTCAGGCTCCCAAAGTGCTGGGATTACAGGCATGAGCCACCGCGCCGGCCTCAGCTTCTTTAAACTTGTGATAATCAAGTATTATATCCAGCATAAAAACAGAGAAACTTTAAAAATCATCAAGTAAAAGATTATTAGTATAAATATTGTCAGTTTTTACACAAAATATAATTAATTTAAATACATAATAAGCAAATTAATCTAGTGATAACTGAAGTATAAAAGGTTATAAAAATATAGAATTTATTCCTGCTTAAGAATAGCATTTAAATATTTTAATTATATAAATCATTCTTGAATACTTTATTGGGTTGAAAAAATTACACAACATAGTTGCATATCTTGCCACTGAAATTCATCTTCATTCCTTTCATATAATCATGATTATTAAATATTTATATTTATACTGTCATTTTTCTGAACAATATTATATATTTACAAATATACTGTGTATAATTATGGGTATCTATAATGTATTTACACAACCATATATCCACAACTTTTTATATATATACAAATGGTTTTTAGTTTTTTTCTACTATTTTTTCTAAGTGCTGAGATTACAGGCCCGAGCCACCATGCCTTGTCTAATGCAAGTTATTTTTAAAAGCCAAAGCAAGGTTTATTTTTAGAGGAAAGCAATCTCTCTTTAAATGTACAACTTCTAAGACCAACTTGATGACTTCTAAGTGGAAGACTTTCATCCACGTAACTTTTTTTATGCTTTGCAAATAATGAGGGACGCTTATCCATATGCTCTGTAAAATGAACTGGTATGCCAAACCTACAGCACCTTGTTATAATCTAATAATTTTATTTATATTCCCTATATTCTTCATATGTATTCCTGGTGAATAAACTGAAAACTAAGTTTGCTTTCACTTTCTAGAGGCACTACCTAATTTCTTACAAGCCTCAAATTGGTTAAAATTCTAACTTGAGTTTGTGAACATATATATATAAATCTTTAAAGAATGTTTGGCATATGATTTATTATATATTTGTACGGTTGACATTTGCTTTAGGTGATGATATTGTGTGGAAAATCTTTAAGTTTCTCTTTGGTAAACTTTAGAAAGGAATAAAAGACAAACTGGATTCTAAGAACTTCATAGTGACTAATTCTCAGATATATATCTATTCTAACCTTTATTTTACAGCCTTCAATGTACAAAATGCAGAATCACAGCTATTCCAGTAAGCATGAAATCTCCTATGCTGAAAGAAACAAGGAAACTGTGTACTTGTCATTTACTGTCTTTTCTCTATCTTCATGCACCTATGACCCTTTAACTTGAATATAGCAATTTCGGAGTTCAAGGAAACCTGGAGTCTGTACTTACATTGTTGACGATAGAGATTGTTTCCTTTGCTGGAGCATGCTGGGTAATGATAGACTGTACACAAGGATAGGAAAACCTGCAGATTTTTATTATAATGTTGAGAAAGATAAGTTTACTTAAAGAAACCTCTATTATAATCCCTTCTTCTGCTTGTCTTGGTCTTCAAAGAGAGAGTCTTACTGATTAAAATAGCGTGCCAAATCCCTTTGGCTGCTTTAAAGTGATATAAACCTAACATATTATATTAATACAACAACTAGAAAGAACTTTCAAGAGTTTCCAAACTTTATTACTCTCTTGGCAGTCCCAGACCCATCTGAGATCTGATGAAAGCTATGCACATTCTCCCTAGAAAAAGGAACATTTTACTGGATTGGCAGAGATTCAGGAACCCCCAGGTGTCCCACATGGTTTAGTAATGCCAAATTCACAACTCCTAATCCAGCCAATGTAACTGTTTCATAGATAATAAAAATGATTCAGCAAGATTATGACATGGGGTTGTATGTCCAAATTATCTTGTAAATGCGTTTCTCTTTCTATTTGCATATACACATGCAGTGATACGTTTGCTTTCTGTAATATATACAATTTGAGCTCAAGTAATTCAGTCTGTGCCTCCTTTGTCATAAGGATTTCTTCTCTCAGTGTGTCTCTTAAAAGAAAACATTTGTCATTGACTTTAGGCTACACCAGAATGATGTCATCTAGAGATCCATAATTTGTTTGCAAAGACTTTTTCCAGTTAAAATCACATTAACACATTCTGGGATGTGCATATATGTTTGAGGGGACACCATTAAACCCACTACCCAAAGTTACCATTTATTGATCATTTGTTAGGTGCAGGCCATTGAATGTAGTATTTCTTCTGAATTTACCAACATTTCATGAAGTAGGTAGCAAGGCAGGTCCCACTACAAATGAGGGCACTAAGATGCATAGAGGTTAAGCAACATTCTAGACTTCACACAGCTTAGTCAGTGTTGGAGTTTTTGCTTGCCCTGTATTCTCACCACTCAGGGCTTAATAGGAAAAGCTCAATTTGTTTCCCAAAGAAAACAAAACCAATGATGTCCTTAAAGTCCTCTTGGGCTTTGTGATTTAATAAAATAGAAAATATATTAACACAAATAGCTGAGATACAAAATAGAAAGCACATACAGTGAAGAGAAATGTATATAAATTGTTAAGAGAATTCAGAAGGAGCTGATTTATCCAGCCATTTAGCAGTCTATGGTGTCTTAATATCCTAATACAATGAGGCTGACTATAAATTCTTCATGTAATATTTTATCTCTTTAATACTCATAAATACAAATCTCCACATTCTGGCATAAACGGCATTCAATCATTCACTTATTCACCATTGATGGAGTATCAGATAATTGTGCTTCAAACTCAGGATATACTGATAAAACAAAACAAGAAAATGCTGGCCCTTCTTCATGGAACGTACATACTGGTGGGAGAGACAGGCAACAAAGAAACAAGAAGGCAAATATATAAAATGATTGCTAATTTTAGTGAGTGTTATGAAAACAATGGGAGGCTCTGGTAGAGAAAAGTGAAGGAATCTTTGTTTAGGTGGGATGGTGAGAGTGGTCAGGGAAGGCTTCTCTGTAAATGGGATACTGTTGCAGAGGTAGAAGCACAGACAAGGACTTAGTCCTGAGAAGAGCAAAGAAACAGCTGTGCAGATGGAGGGAACAGCACATGCAAATAACCTAAGGCCAGAGAATGCTTAGTGTCTTCAAAGAACTGATAGGAATTAGTATTAGGAATGTCACCTACTATGACCTAGGCAGGGGCCAGAGGATGTCGACTCTTGCTCACGGTAAGGAGTGAGAATTTTTCCCAGTAGTAAGGGGAAAACGCTGCAAGATGTAAACAGGGAAACAATATAACTGAGTTTTTTGGGGGAAGATTGTGTTTGCTGTTCTAGGAAGAATAGATTGGAGGTGACAAGAGTGGAGGAGAAGGGACCAGTGAAAGGGCTTTGAGAACATCAAATTATCTGTCAATATTTAAACTTCATTTAAATAATGGCTTGACTCATATATCTAAAGATTACACTTACACTATTTTTTTAAAGTTTACATCTATTGTCAATATTACAGGAACTGCTACCTGTAGCTACTCTGGGGAGTGACATTGGCAGGAGAAAAGTGGGGAAGGCGTAGAGCAGCTTGCTTTGTGTTATATGCCTGAACTGTTTGGAACGTTCTGAGCTGGTGCTTCAACTGCTTCCTGAGACAGCATCCAACACCACCTATTAAAATTTTCCAGTATACAAACTGACTGAGAAATAATACACATTTTAATTTTCTACCAGTGGTATTTTTTAGAAATTAGTGTTCGAGTCCTACTCATTTTATAAATCTGTCAATGAATCATTAATTTGGAAATAAATTTATCAAAGATTGGGTTCTACAGATCCCACAAGGTCAGCTTATGGATGTTAGACAATAGACAGAGTGCACAACTTTTGAGTCTGGTCTTTGGCATTCATTAGCTGCGTAACTTGGGCAAGTAACTTCCTTCCGAGATACTCACTCCCCCTATTTGTAAAATGTTTATTATTATAGCTGTGAGAAAGAACATATGAAAAAAAGTTTTATTACATGTATATTAGTAACATTGTTTTTTATGGTTAATATATAGTAATTTTCTTTGATTGTAATCCCCTTCTTACCTGGAGTAGAACTTAGAATGCTGTAACATGCAAATAATAAAACACTACCTCAACTGGATAAAACAAGAACATTTATTACCTAATTTCACACAAATCCACATATAGGAGGCTCCAGAGTACAAGAGTCTAGTCCCTCTTTGTACACATAGCTGTGTAGGCTCAACAACGTCAATGAGGACTCAAGTTCTTTCTGATTTCCCAATGCCTATCCTAAGCTCACTCCTCAGACTCCTCCTAGTCACAGGTCGGCTGTGGCAGCATCAAGCATCACAACTCAACCACGCAGGCATAATGAACATTTTTGAAAGTAGAAATTATCTCTTCTTGAATGTATCTTTTTAATAATGAGGGAAATTTTCAAGGAATCCTCCAGCCAAATTTCTTTAACATATCACATGAAAGACAAAATTTCACATGTCAACATCTAACCAGTTCAGAATTGTGTCACATGTCAACATCTAACCAGTTACTGACAAGAAAATGGGGTTGTTATAATTGGGTGAGAACAGTAGATATTTAGCTCCTGAGATGGGGATGGAATCGAGTGGCTAGCCAAATAAATATGGGGAAGGACAAGAAGAAAGAAGTGAACGAATGGTAAGCAGATAAAAAGCAGAATCTGCTACAGGAGAATGCCCCCAGCTATGTTTGCTCTTGCACAGGGATGGATTCACAGTTAATTTTGATACTGCTTCTCCTCCTTCAAAGACAAGCCCTTTCTCAACATCCACTCACATCTTGAAAGATACCAGTCCCCAATGGAAAGACATGATAAGTGTTTCAAATGATGAAAATGCTAATTATCCTAATTTGATCATTACACAATGCATATATGTATCAAAATATCACACTGTACCCCATAAATATGTACAATCATTATGTATCAACTTAAAAAATACTAGTCAAAGGTTTCTAAAGGTACATCAGTTTAACTCCATGTAGTCTTAGAAAGATGTTAGACCTACATAAATATTACACAAAAGGTCTATATCACTTGATTAAACAATTCACTAATAAATGGGCAGAGACTTGTGAGAATACCTGTCAATAAGTAATTTTAGTGTTATCAGAATTTTTATATCAAATTCAGAAAAGTAATGTTACTATAATAATATAACTGGTTAATCCAGACAAGGAAACAGCCACAAAAAGTAAAGCACATTTTAAATTTTGTTTGTATAAACATATGTCTATATACATACATATACACAAAATATTTACATACATATACACAAAAAGTGGATGAAATATTTTTCATTACTTATGTTTTCATATTTATATGTGTATTTGTGTTTGTATATGTGTATATATGTATATATAACATATAAATGAATATTTGAAATATTTGTTTTATTGTTATGTAAAGAAGAAAATTTATCTAAAAAAATTCAAAGGAGAGATTAGCCATAATTCCTATAACTGGACAATTTAATTCCTCCGGCATCTGCCAATCCAAATAGATATTAAATTATTTTGATAAAATATTGGTCATTATTTTCCTGGTCTGTGCTGTTGGGAAGTTTTGCTTTCATCAGCCATTTATCCCAGGGATTTTAGCTTTCCACCTTGAACACTTGATTAGAGGTGCAACTGTCTACAGAATGGAATGGCTCCTGATTCTCAGAACTTCATTCAAACAGAGGAAAAGAGTGGTTTACCATCTTATTGTCTTGAGGAGTCTAAAACAGAGCTGTAATTTGTGTCTTAGGGCCACTCACGTGACAAGTTTCAAATTCCATTGTTTATTAGGAGTATGGGCTTTTAATCTAAATGTTATTTTAAAAATAAAAATTAAATTTTAATTTTCTGCTATTTTATTAGTTCATTAATCATAAATGAAGCTTTTATTAGTTTATTATTTATATGTATATATTACTATTTATTTTTATTTAGATGTATTTGTTTTAATGTAATTTTATTTTTACATTTAAATTTTATTTAAATATAAATAAAATTACTAGTTTATTATAGTCTTTCTTCCTTTTATATATGGGAAAAATGCTTGCATTTGAGACTGCAATAGAATGCAATATTCTCCCCGTGACTTGGGAGTTAAGGGTTAGTGTAGAGTTATGATCCCTCATTAAGCCTGCCTTAAACACTTCAGTATTCTTTAGAAGTGTAATTCTATTTCTTTCAGCAGCACATGAGGAAGAATAATGTTAGTATTTTGAGGTTAATTCAATTACTTTCCACTTGTGAAAATGGTGACAGGATTTCCTATTGCTCCAAAAAGCCCTCCAACCATTATCCTTGATTGGCAGAAAAAATTCTGCTTCTGAATGAAATGAAAACATTGACTGTACACTCTGACAGATTGTTTCACAGGGAGTTTTAGTCCATTTTCTGATACTCTGACTCCAGTAGCAGTTTAATGATCAATTTATTAGCTAATAGCTTTGATCAAATTCCAGATTGAAATTATCACTTGCAGCGATTTTGAAGTTATGTGATGTCGTTTTATACCATATTTATTTTTGATTTAAGCTACTGATGTTTGCAAAATTGCTTTTCCATGGTGCAAAATTCAATTTATTAAATTGGAAACACCAACAAATAGTAGTTTAAAAATGTACACTGTTTAAAATGCTATATACCAGTTAAATAAACCTACCATTAAAATGTTTAAAAAGTATGTGTAATTAAAAACCCAGTAGTATTATTCTTCATTAGGACTGGTCCTTCAAACGGGAAAATTGATAGAGTTCACTTCCTTGTTCTTGCAACACAGAAGTTTAAATTACAAGAAAAATAATTAAAGATCCATGGCTGTAAATATTACTATGGGCAGTGCAGCGATCTGCTGCAATTGTGTGTGGACCATTTAAAAAATGGTTTGTAATTTTTACTGATGGAATGATACACAAAGGGCAGGTATTTGGTAAATACGTGTTGAGTTTTATTTTTAAAGACCTATGAGGAGTTAAGGATATTAGCTATGATATGTATCCCTAGACAGATGCTGAATCTTGTGAAGTTATGTCTTAATTTCACTTACCATATAGAATGACTTTTGTGTTCTGATGTTACTTTTGACAGCCTAGGATAATAAGCCCATTTCAAAGTAGACATTTATGAGGCTTAATTTATGAAACTTTAGACTACTGAAAATTAATTTACCCTTGTTTTTAAAGTCCTAGTTCATCATCTAGGGAATATAATGAACTGCAATAATAAAGATCTAATATCATTTTTGACACAGAATTCAACATATTAATAGCTATGATAATCTTAAATAAATTTTTTGGTAACTGTATTTATTGAACAAATATTCACAGCATTTAGTGCCTTATATTTGTTTGGAAAAGAAGTTAAAATTAAAATAATATAGACCCTATCTACCTTCAAGGCAAATAGGAGAGGGTTATATAAATTGACAGTTACGGTTCAATGGCATAAGTACTATGATATAGAGGATTAAGGAAGCATGGAAAAGAAATTTATCACGTGGAAAAGTCAAGGAGGACTTCTTGGAGATGTTTTATGAACCATGCTTGATGAGTTGGAATTAGCTATATGAAGGAGAGTTGGAAAGTGCATTCTAGACAAGTGGAAAATAATCACTAAGTTACAACCAAGCAAAGATCATAGTCTGAATTCTGAATTTAGGAATAGGCAGTGAAAGTAAAGAGGTAGGGATGCACATGATAGACAGTAAATGACCAGAGCATACAGCATTTGTTGAGAGAATAGAAATGAAGGAAATGATTGAAAGGAAGCCATCTAGAATGATTCTATAGGTTCTAGCATTTTAGGTAAGGTGAAGGTGATGGAGAAGATGAGGTCAGTTTTGACTATATTACTTAGTTTGTAGTAGAAGAGAGTAATTCAAGGAAGGTAAATTTGAGAGAAATTAATAACTTACAGGCAATCCAAACATTTTAAAAGTAAGCAATAGAAACATTAGAATATTCTTTCTATTTGTAAGTATTCCTATCAAGTTTTACAAATCATTTTGGATAAAGAGATTTAAGATGTCATCGACTTCATTATCTTATCAAAGTTCAGATAGTTGTCGGTGTACATGTTTTTTATTTTTGTTTTGTTCGCTTTTCTAATGGAATTGACACATAAAATTAAATTGATTGCTGCTTTAGGCACAGAGTAGAGTATGCTTTCGTTGACTAAACTGAGCAAAAGCAAGAACATTTGCCATGTTCCCAAGAATGACTCATTCTCTCAGGAAGTTCATTCATTGCTAATTTTCCAAAAACAAACATCAAGAAGCCAGATTTATGGGCTAGTATTAACTACTTTTCTAGCTAGCCAATTAAAAAAATTCAGTAGTTTTTGAGGTACAGGTGGTTTTGGGTTACACGTATAAATTATTTAGTAGTGACTTCTGAGATTTCTGAGATTTTAACCTTGCTATAGTAAAAGTGAATGAAGAAAGAAAAAGAATAATTGTCAAATTAAAAATTTGTTTCTAGAGTTTTCATTCAAATCTACATTATGTCAATTAACTGGGACCTGGTACAAGCCATTTTGCATTGACCTAGCATTGCTAATAACATTTACTTTTTCCTTACTTTTTACCATGTACCAATGGTTGTCTTGCTACAAGTGAAATGCAGAAATATGTGCCAATGTCAGTGGGCCAATTTTATTCATAATTTGACTTAGTTTATTTCAGAATATACTGAACAGCTATACAACCCTAAATTCTACTTATTTGATAGACAATGATTCCTTTAAAACAAATTTCTCTAAGACTTTTTTAAATTTAAGCACTTTTGAATTTGAAATAGATTGAAATTTTTAAAAAAGAATACCTGAAGCTGTTCTGCTAATCAATCCAAAATGAGATTGTCACACTAAGGCATCTTAATTGTACTAATAGATTGCACTTACATGGTTTATTACATAACACCTAGTTTATGCATAATAAATAACCAATCATTTTTATTTTAAAAAAGTTTTCTGCCCTGATAGATTTAAATGCAATTAATTAAATAATGTGTCATTTTTGAAACCTAACATAACTACTCAATTCAACATGTATCTGCAAATAGTTAAACTTTATAATAGGATAACATGTTCTCTCTTTTGAAATCTATACATCTTAATAAAGCATGGCCACACTTTGCTCTTCTTATATTAAATACTATAATATCGATAGTTATTAATTTAATTTCTATATATTTCTGATTGATTCAAATCATGGTACTAACTGATTCCAGAACTTCTGTAATTTTTATTATTCAAAGACTTGCAAAGCTCCAAGTCTAAAGGGCCAATATTTGAATAAGCTCTTTTGTTATGTCTATATTTAATCAAATTTAGGCATAATCATTTCTATTTTGAAGTCATCAGATTTTTATTATAGTAAGTCCTTGATTTCTTGGTTTTCTCTTCTTAGTTACAACTGATTCTACTAAGAGAGGGAGTTTGTTTGGGAGTAGTTGTGCAGTATAAGAAAATAAATATTTTCTACCTTCTTTTTTTTATAACCAGTTTTTCTACCATTTGTTTTATGAATTTTTAAGAACAGATAAAACAATTTTCTGTGTTGGTCAGTGCCTTTTAATAGACCAAATTACGGATTCTATCTTTTTTGTTGAGACGGAGTCTCACTCTGTTGCCTAGGCTGGAGTGTAGAAGCACGATCTTAGCTCACTGCAACCTCCGCCTCCTGAGTTCAAGCTATTCTCCTACCTCAGCCTCCCGATTAGCTGGGATTACAGGCATCTGCCACCATACCTGGCTAATTTTTGTATTTTTATTAGAGGTGGGTTTCGCCATGTTAGCCAGGCTGGTCTCGAACTCCTGATATCAAGTGATCCACCCACCACGGCCTCCCAAAGTGCTGGGAGGATTCTATCTTTTATTAACTACAATAGTATAAAAATTCATTGGCATAGCAATGTTAACACAATATAGCCATTAAGCCAAATTAAATATCAGAAATCTAAGAAAACTCCCTGGTGGTAAATGAAACTATTTTATCATTTAATCCTGTTTTTTTTTAATGAGAAAACTCTCACAGTCATTACTGGATGTAAATATATTCTCTCACCAAATCCTAGGAAGGTAGAAATTCTAAGGTAATATTTTTTCTTACATATGCTAACAATACGAGTTAATGTTTAGCTACTTTTTAAATTCTGGAAGCTATTTAGATTACACGTTTCCTCAAAATGAATGTGTTTTAGATGACTTTATTTAAAGGTAAAAAAGAGTCATATCAAAGTCAAGATAAAATTGTAAATGAAGACATTTTTGCTATTGTTAAATATAAATGTTATGAGATTATTTATATTTATGATAACTATGAAAAATAATATATTAAATTACTTTCAATATTCTGAATTGAGAAATATTCCTATGACTTTGTAATAATAATAAAAAATCACTTTACATTCTCTCTCCTAGAGCCAATTCTCCTTTATTAATGCTTTAAAACCTCTAACATCTATCTCACATTTCATCTGTGTTTGAAAAATGAATGGAGAATTTGCCAACACTTTATTGTCAATATCAATTGCATCCAGTTTGGTATATTAGAGGATTATTAGAATATAATTGATTTAAGCAAAACATTACAAAATATACAGACAAAATATAATATTACAACGATTTCTCCTACCTGTAAAATAAATAAATGCACTATTGATGAAATGGCTACTCGCAAGACTTTTGTGACTTTTATGACCACTAGAACTTGCCTTGGAGATTACATTATGCCCTCTGGTAGCATTTTGAGTCTTGGTAAGTTACTTACATCCTATTTTTCAAATTCTAACTTCAGTTAAAAGAGTAATGATTATTGAAAGCATAAACTTTCAAAACGAAGGGAAAACATGCAACATACGCTTTTCAAAACTGTCCAAATTTTTGGTCTCCTTGGACAAAAGGAGCAGTATAGATCAATTGGTCGATCTGTCTATCTATCTATCTGTTTATCTCTAATCTGTCATACAGGTATATCTATCATTATCTGATGATACAAATGTTTACATAAAAATTTTAGTTATCATATTTATATCTAAATCAATATCTAACTCTGGTGTTTTGAATAGTGATTAGGTGGACAATATATATAAGTGAAGTGAACATAAATCTTACATTGCATAAGGGAGAAAATGTTGAATCCAATTTACAAATATTGAAATGATATAAAGCAAACTTATTACCACGATGGAAATTATTTGGAATTTTAGTTATTGATAATTACTATTAAATATAGATGAGTTGGCTGGGCATGGTAGCTTGCACCTGTAATCTCAGCACTTTGGGAGGCCAAGGCAAGTGGATCACTCAGGAGTTTTGAGACCAGCCTGCCCAACATGGCGAAACCCCATCTCTACTAAAAATGCAAAAAATTAGCCTGGCGTGGTGGCACGTGACTGTAATCCCAGCTACTCGGGAGGCTGAGGCACGAGAATCGCTTGAATCCAGGAGGTGGGGGTTGCAGTGAGCCAAGACTGCACCACTGCACTCCAGCCTGGACAACAGAGTGAGACTCCGTCTCAAAAAATAAAATAAAAATTATATATAGAGAGATAGATCGATAGATGAATCATGCTCTTTCGACATAGCCTATTTTACACATTCATCTTGGATATTGAAAAAAACATACATTTGCATGGCAAACTGACTTATAGAAAAAGATCAAGAATTAGAAAATTCTTGGTAAGTTGTAGTCATTCCATGCTTATATATCCTGTGATATATAAGCATGAAGTCTTTTTAGAAACAGAAAATCCAATTTTCGCTTGGCTTATTGCTGCCCACTTTAAAGCCTACATTCCGTATCCTTCATTGTAACTAGCATATGAGTTACTCAATATTTACATGTTTGAAATTTTCCAATAAAAGGTTGATAAATATTAACTGTCTTAACTCCGTTGATAGATAAGCTTCCAAAGAGTACTGCTAAATTTGAAAAATAATTGAGCAAGGTATTGCACATATGCCAACAAACATTTCAAATTATTTTAACAAGATGCCGGCTATGAGAAACAAACCTTTGGATAGTTGTCATTTGTATAATTCTTACAATTAAAATAACTTTTATACTTTCTAATAGATTTATATGCCTCTGTATATATGCCAATACATATAATTTGATAGTCATATGACATCATTCACTTGAATTTCTGTTTTCTTTGTAAACTAATGTAACAATACATCGTTTGAAAACTTAAAACTATGCAATTCAATAAATGCTTCACCACCTGAGTGCTACATTAACAAACCTTTACTGTGTTTTAAATTGCCAACTTAACTAGTTGCTTATAGGTTTGATGCAATTATACTCTGACGGTCACAGTATATATATCTCTGTCCTTCCAAAAAGGAGTTATGAATTGGTATTTTTCCTTATAAACACAATAAAAATGTTAAGATATATTTTCTTTTTCAATTAATCAAAAGCTAGAAAAACCAAAGAAAAGAGATGGTACAGACCTTTGGTGTTCAGAAAGAAGGGATCCACAGCTTACAATACGATTTAATGACCAGTGAAAGCAGATCTGTTACAGCTGTTCCAGATAATTATGAGGCCCGGGGCTGACATAAAAATAAACAAATAGTTTTTTTGTGAGAGCTTTGTATATTAAAACTCAAAATGGGTAGAAAACGTAAATGTTAGTAAAATGTCAAGCACATTAAAATGACTTTAATAAATACCTGTTGAATTTAATGTAGAATCAAATAAAGTATATCCAATAACATGTAAGTAAAACTATTAAATAATATTTACATGATAAAAATTACCTCATCTTTTGTCTCTAAAAGATACCTTGTACTGAGAATCTCATAGTCATAGAATATAATGCCTAATCTTTAATTTGACTCTATCTTGTATGCAGGTAATAACACTGTGATCTATTTCTATCTAAAGAGCAATTTCAAGATGTTTCTCCGTCCATCCTGCTACCCTCCTTCAACTGGGGGTAGGTGGTGGGAGTGTGCTGTTATTTTTAGAATTTTCAACAAATATAATTTTCAGGGTAAAAACAAACTTATGATGAATTGAACTTATTAAACTAATGCATATTTCAAAGTGTAGTGAAATAGTCACCAATTCTGAAGCCAACATCTAAACTAAACCAGCAAGTAGAAAAATAAATAAGCTTAACTTGTTTGATTTCTCATCAAAAGAGACAGTCTCTCATTTCCATTTATTGTTCATTGTATCCATTAATTTATGTTCTATATCAAACTATCCCAAAACTTAGTGATTGAAAACACCTCAGTCACTTTAGTTCGTGGTTCTGTGGTTGAACAGGCAGTACTTCTGGTGGGTGATCTCTGCTGGCCTCTCCCATGTGACTGTGGTCAGCTGGCTGTTGGACAATCTAGAATGGCCTCACATATGTGTCTAGCTGTTGGCAGATAATTGGGGATTATTGGCTGAAGCACCTCAGTTCTCCACATGGCCCCTCATTCTCCCTCAGATTAGCACAGTCTTGTTCACTTAGTGGTCACTAAGGATTATAATCACAGAAAGAAAGGGGGACCCCAAGAGCAGACATGGTTAAAATCTCTTCCTCTAGTGTTTGCTTTTGTCTCATTGAGCAAAGAAAATCACATGGCTAAACCCAAGTTTATGTGGGTAAAGAGTACCCAAAAGTACAGATACCAGGAACTGAATTATTGTGGCTATTTTGCAAACAATCTACCTTAGTCTCTCTCTCTCTTTTTTTTTTTTTAAACTTTACTTCTCCTCCTCTCTTTTTCTCAGTGTATGGCCTCACTCATTGTGTATATTTTTGTCTTTGGAATCTCTTCTTCATAACAAAGATTTCTCTCTCCTGGCTCTATGCCATATCATTTTCTTTTACCCATTCTCATTTATACTACAAGGAAAAAATTCAAATTCAATATTTTCCAAACTCTAGTAATGGCATTTGACTATCTATCACTTTGTTCTTCAATTTTAAATGTGCTGGAAACAAACTTGAGATGTCCTTCAGACAGAATTAGCCCTGAGTGATGAAAATTCTGCATTAAGATTTTTTAATGCAAATCCTTCAGGATTTGGTTTGCATTCATATTTAGTGAAGAATTGGGAGAAAAAGTCAAGGATAGTATTTGAAGATCAAATTGCAGTGTTAATATTTGCATATAAAAAATTAAGCACTTACACAGATTAAAGAGAGCATATTTTTGAAATTTACATTTTAGTCCATTTTTAATGCCTTTCTCAAAATATTAATATTTTTATAAATGATTTTCAGTAGCTAGTAATAAATTAATTAGAGCTTTAAAAAATTATTTTATTATATAAAATGCTAAAGAAAATAGTATTATAAAGAATTAAATATTTTTCTGATAAAAATGAATATCCAAGAAGAGTATAGTATCTGATATATAATAAGCAGTTATTTTTATTATCACTATAAAGAATACCATGAATCGTCTACATGTAGACCTTTCTCTATTTATGATTAGTAGTTACCCTAAAAAGGTAAGGCAAGGAAACTTACACAATAGATATTAAGTAATCTGAAATGCCCTAATTTTGAAGATTTAATTGCAAATAATGAAGAAAATTACAAAGATGTTTATTATTTATGCTTCAATAAAAATGCCTTTATCCTCCTGTTATTTTTATAACTGACCAGATAATTTCAGAATAGTGATAGAAACAAACAAGATTCTTTTCCTCCATTTCCGGAATTGCAAACTTTGCTGGACAATATCAATATTTCCTATGAAAATTTTTAAGACAAATTATACATTTGTATATATTTACATACACTTTGTCATAGGGTATAAATTTCAATTTTATTAAATATGATAGTGTATGAAAATATGAATTTCAATATTAGGATAGTTGAAAAAATACTGAAGACAATAAAAATGACAAAATCATAATAAATAAAATAATAAAATAAAAATGACAATAAAAATGACAATGACACTGTTTATGTATTTTATCTATTTTTAATTGGATTATTTGTTTTTTGCTTGTTGATTTAAGTTCCTTATAGATTCTGGATATCAGACCTTTGTTGGATGCATAGCTTGTGAATATTTTCTGTCTGTAGGCTGTCTGTAGGCTGTAGGCTGTATGTTTACTCTATGGATAATTTATTTTGCAGAGCAGAAGTTCTTTAGTTTGATTCAGTCTCGCTTGTCAATTTTTGTTTCTCTTGAAATCACTTTTGAGTACCTAGCCATAAATTCTTTACCAAACCTGATATCAAGAAGGGTATTTCCGTGTTTTGTTTTTTTTGTTTTTTCTAGTAATTTAATACTTTGAGGTCTTACATTTAAATCTTTAATCTATCTTGAGTTAATTCTTGTATATGATAAAAAATAGATGTCCAGTTTTATTCTGCGTGTGCTAGCCAGTTATTCTAGCACTATTTATTGAATAGGAAATCCTTTCCCCGTTGCTTATTTTTGTCAACTTTGTCAAAGACCAGATGGTTGTAGCTGTTCAGCATTTTTTCTGGGTTCTTTATTCTGTTCCATTAGTCTATGTATCTGTTTTTTTTGTTTTTTTGTTTTGTTTTGTTTGTTTTGAGATGGAGTCTCGCTCCATCTCCAGGCTGGAGTGCAGTGGCGTGATCTCAGCTCACTGCAACCTCTGCCTCCTGGGTTCAAGCGATTCTCCTGTCTCAGACTCCCAAGTAGCTGGGACTACAAGCGGCTGCCACCATGCCTGGCTAATTTTTGTATTTTTAGTAGAGACGGGGTTTCACCATGTTGGCCAGGATGGTCTCGATCTCTTGACCTCCTGATCCACCCGCCTTGGCCTCCCAAAGTGCTGGGATTACAGTGTATCCGTTTTTGTACCAGGACCATGATGTTTTGGTTACTGTAGCCTTATGGTACAGTTTGAAGTCTGGTAATGTGATGCCTACAGCTTTCTTCTTTTTGCTTTGGATTGCTTTGGCTACTCATACACTTTTTTTGGTTCAATATGAATTTTAGAATTTTTTCCTACTTCTGCAAAAAAAAATTATGTTGGTATTTTGATCAGGATAACATTGATTCTGTAAATTGCTTTGGGCAGTTTGGCCATTTTAACAATATTGATTCTTCCTATCTATGAACATAGAATATTTTTCCATTTACTTATGTTGTCTCTAACTTCTTTGAGAGGTGTTTTATAATTCTCATAATAAAGATCTTTCACCTCCTTAGTTAGATGTATTCCTAAGTATTTCATTTTTTTTGTGGATACTGTAAGTGGGATTGTGTTCTTGATTGGCTCTCATCTAGAATGTTTTTGGTGCATAAAAATGCTACTGATGTTTATACATTGATTTTGTACCCTGAAACTTTACTGAAGTCATTTACTAGTTCTAGGAGCCTTTTGGTGGAGTCTTCAGGGTTTTCTATGTAAAGATTCATACTGTCAGCAAAGAGAGATAATTTGAATTCTTCTTTTCCTCTTTGGACGCCTTTTATTTCTTTCTCTTGCCTGATTCCTCTGGCTAGCACTTCCAGTACTATGTTGAATAGGAGTGGTGAGAGTGGGCATCCTTGTCTTGTTCCAGTTTTCAAGGGGAATAGTTCCAGCCTTTGCTCATTCAGTATGATGTTGGCTGTGGGTTTGTCATAGATTGCTCTTATTATTTTTGAGGTATGTTTTCTTGCTGCCTGGTTTGTTGAGGGTTTTTATCATGCAAGAATGTTGGATTTTATCAAAGACTTTTTTCACACCTGTGAAGATGATCATATGGTTTTGTTACCAACTCTGTTTGGGTGGTGAATAATATTTACTGATTTGTGTACATTTAACCAAACTTGTATCCCAGGAATAAAGCCTACTTGATCATTATGAATTAACTTTTTGATGTGCTGCTGGATTTGGTTTGCTAGTATTTTGTTGAAGTTTTTATATCTATATGCTCATCAGGGATATGGGCCTGAAGTTTTCTTTTTTCATTGTCTCTCTGGCAGATTTTGGCATCAGAATGATGCTGGCTTTGTGGAATGAGTTAGAGAGGAGCCCCTGCTCAACTTTTTGGAATAGTTTCAGTAGAATTGGTATAAGTTGTTTGTATATCTGTTAGAATTTGGCTGCAAATCCATCTGACCAGGATTTTTTCTTTTCTTTCTTTCCTTTTTTTTTTTTGGTGGGATTTTATTACAGATTCCATTTCAACTTGTTATTGGTCTTTTCAGGTTTCCACTTTCTTCTTGGTCCATCCCTGGTTCACACAACCAGGAGGTTGTGTGTTTCCAGGAATTTATTCATTTCCTCTAGATTTTCTAATTTGTGTGCATAGAGGTATTTATAATAGTCTCTGAGGATCTTTTTTTAAATTTCTGTGGGCTCAGTTGTAATGGCTTTTTATCATTTCTGATTGCACTTATTTGGATCTTCTTTTTTTTTTGTCTTTGATAATCTAGCCACCAGTCTATCAATATTGTTAATTCTTTCAAAGAACCAATTAAAAGAACTAATTATTGGTTTCATTGGTCTTTTGTATGGACTTCTGCATCTCATTTTTTTCCAGTTCTCCTCTGATTTTAGTTATTTATTTTCTTCTGCTAACTTCGGGCTTGGTTTCTAATTTTTTTCCTAGTTCCTCTAGGTGTGATGTTAGATCATTAGTCTGAGACCTTTCTAACTTCTTTTTTTTTTTTTTTTTTTTGAGACGGAGTCTCGCTCTGTCGCCCAGGCTGGAGTGCAGTGGCGGGATCTCGGCTCACTGCAAGCTCCGCCTCCTGGGTTCACGCCATTCTCCTGCCTCAGCCTCCCAAGTAGCTGGGACTACAGGCGCCCGCCACTACGCCCGGCTAATTTTTTGTATTTTTAGTAGAGACGGGGTTTCACCGTTTTAGCCGGGATGGTCTCGATCTCCTGACCTCGTGATCCGCCCGCCTCGGCCTCCCAAAGTGCTGGGATTACAGGCGTGAGCCACCGCGCCCGGCCTCTAACTTCTTGATGAAGGTATTTTGCACTATGAACTTTCTTCTTAACGCTGCGTTAGCTGCATCCCAAATATATTGGTAAGCTGTGTCTTTATTTTTATTAATTTCAAAGAATTTTTTGATTTCTGCCTTAGTTTTCTTGTTGACCCAAGATTTATTCAGGAGTAAATTTTTAAGTTTCCATGTTTTTGTGTAGTTGTGAAAAATCTTTTTGTATTGTTTTCTATTTTTATTGCACTGTTGTCCAAGAGTATGCTTGCTATGGTTTTGATTTTTTGATTTTATTAAGACTTGCTTCTTGACCAAGAATGTGGTTGATCTTAGAATATGTTCCATGTATGGGTGAGAATAATTTATACTCTGTGGTTGTTAGGTGGAGTATTCTGTAGATGTCTTTTAGGTCCAGTGTGTCAAGCATTGAGTTTAAGTCCAGAATGTCTTTGTTAGTTTTCTGTCTCTATGATCTGTTTAACGCTGTCACTGGGGTGTTGAAGTCTCCCACTATTATTGTGTGGCTGTCATAGTCAAGGAGAACTTGTTTTATGAATCTCAGTGCTCCGATCGTGGGTGGATATACGTTTAGAAGAGTTATGTATTCGTGTTTATTGAATCCTTAATTGTTATGCAATGACCTTTTTTGTTATTTCTTATTGTTGTTGGTTAACATCTACTTTATCTGTTATAAGAATAATGACTCTTGCTCTCTTTTGTTTTCTGTTTATCTGGTATATCTTTCTCTGTCCCTTTACTTTGAGCTTGTGGGTATTGTTACATGTGAGATGGGTCTCTTGAAGATAGTAGAGAGTTGGGTCTTGTTTTTTAATCCAGTTTGCCACTCTATACCTTTTAAGTGGAGCTTTTAGACCATTTAATATTTTAGTATTGATATGTGAAATTTTGATCCTGTCATTTTGTTGTTAGCTGGTTGTTTTGTGGACTTAATTATGTAATTGCTTTATATTGTCTTGTCTATGGGATGAGTATGTTCTTGAGTGTGTTATCAATGAGCTTGGGATATCTTTCCATTTGTTTGTATCCTCTTCAATTTCTTTCATCAGTGTTTTGTAATTTTCCTTGTAGAGATCTTTTACCCCTTAGGTTAAATTTATTTATAAGATTTTTTTTTTTTTGTAGCTATTGCAAATTGGATTGCCTTCTTGATTTCTCCCACAGTTAGCTCATTATTGGTATATAGAAATGCTACTACTTTAATAATAGTTTGTTAATTTCATATCTTGCAATTTTACTGAATTCATTTTTCAGATCTAGGAGGTTTTTTGGTGAAATATTAGGTTATTCTAGATATAAGATCATATCAACAGCAAAGAAGAATAACGTGACTTCCTTTTTTCCAATCTAGATCCCTTTTGTTGTTCTTTTTGTCCTCTTGTCTATTGCTCTGACTAGGACTTTTAGTACTATGTTGACTAGGAAGAGTAAAAGAGGGCATCCTTGCCTTGTTCCAGTTCTTAGAGAAAAAGGTTTTCAGCTTTTTTCTCATTCTGTAAGATATTAGCTGTGGATTTGTCATGATGTGACTTTATTATGTTGAGGCATATTTCTTCTTTGCTTAGTTTTTGAGAGTATTTATCACAAAGAAATGTTGAATCTTATTAAATGCTTCTGCTGTGTCTACTGAGATGAGCATGGCTTTTGTGCTTCATTCTACCGATGTTATGTATTATGATTATTGGTTTGCATATGTTAATCCATCCTTGCATCCTTGGGATAAATCATGTTTGATCATGGTGTACTATATTTTTTATTTGCTGCTGGATTCATTTTTCTAGTGTTTTGTTGAGAGTTTTTGTATCTACGTTCATCAGGAATATTGGCCTACGGATTTTTGTTGTTGTCGACTCTTTGCTGGTTTTGTTATCAGGGTGATGTTGGCCTCTTAGAATGAGTTAGGGAGAATACCTTCCTCTTCAATGTTTCAGAATAGTTTAGGGAAATATGGGTTAGTTCTTTACCCATTTGATAGAATTTGGCAGTGGAGCCATTAAGTCCTCAACTTTTCTTTGTTGGCAGATGTTTTATTACTTATTCAGTCTTACTGCTCTTTATTGGTCTTTTCAGATTTACTGTTTCATCCTGATTCAATCTTGGTAGATTGTATGTATCCAGGAATTTATCTATTTCTTCTAGGTTTCCAGTTTGTTAGTATATAGTTGCTCATAATAATCCCTTATGATCTTCTGTATTTCAGTTGTATAAGTTGCAGTGTAACTTTATTGTTGTCTATTTTATTTATTGGAGTTTTTTTTTCTTGATTAGACTAGCAGTTTATCAATTTTGTTTATCCTTTCAAAAAACAACTTTTTATTTTCTTTGTATATTTTACTCTCTATTTTGTTTAGTTCTGCTCTGATCTTTATTATTTCTTTCCTTCTAATTTGAGGTTTGGTTTAATATTGCTTTTTTAGTTCTTTGAGGTGCATTGTTAGATTGTTTATTCAAAATCGTTGTACTTTTTTGATGTAGACTTTTATTGTTATAAACTGCTCTCAGCACTGGTTTTGCTTTATCCCACAGGTTTTTGTATATTATGTTTCAGGATCCATTTGCTTCAATAATATTTAAAAAAATTTTTTAAGTTTTTTCTTTGACTCAATGGTCATTCAGGAGCATGTCGTTTAATTTCCATGTATTTGTAAAACTTGCAAAGTTCTTCTTGTTACTGACTTCTGGTGTTATTCCATTTTGATCTCAGAAGATACTTGATATGATTCCAATTTTAAGAAAATTTGTTGAAACTTGCTCTGTGTTCTAACATATGGCCTATCCTGTGGAATGTTTCATGTGCTGATAGGAAGAATGTATATTTTGTAGCTGTTGGATGAAATATCTGTGAATGTCGGTTTGGTTCATTTGGTTAAAAGTACAGTTTTAATCCAAAGTTAATTGTTAATTTTCTGTCTAAATAGTCTGTCTAAGGTTGAGAGTGAGGTGTTGAAGTCCCCAAAGTTTATTGTATTAGAGTCTATCTCTCCCTTCATCTAATATTTGTTTTATATATCTAGGTGTTCTACCGTTGGGCACATATACGTTTAGGATTGTTACATCCTCTAGCTGAATTGATTCCTTTGTCACTATATAATGGCTTTCTTCATCTATTTTTACTGTTTCTGACGTAAAGTCTGCTTTATCTGAGTAAGCAAAGCTACCCTTGTTTGCTTCTTGTTTCTGTTTGTATGGAATTTCTGTTTCTATCCTTTTGCTTTTTGTCTATGTGTATCTGGAGAGATGAAGTAAATTGCTTGAAGGCAGTCGTTCTTCTTTCACTCATACAATTTATATATTTTAGGTGGAAAACTTGTATGTTTACATTAAAGCTTATTACTGATATGTGAGGGTTTATTCTTGTCATTTTATGAATTGATTTTTGGTTGATTTATATGTCCTTTGTTCCTTCTTTCTCTCTTCTTATCATTGCGGTTTGGTGGTTTCATGTAGTGGTAATATTTGAGTCCTTTCTATTTCTTATTTGTGTGTTTGCTCTGGCAGTGGGTTTTAAACTTTCATGTGGTTTCATGTTGGTGGATATCATTCTTTAGCTTCCAGATTATGTTCTTAAGGGGAAAAGTAATTTTTCAAAACATGTTAAAATTTAGAAAACGTAAGTATGTTGGGACAAATAACACCAACAACATAGACTAGGAGATTACCGTTTAGGTTTCATGGCATGAGATTGTTTTGGACCTACAGGCTGAAAGTAAACAAGTATTTCACTACTCTTGGAGGGAAAAAAAGCCAAATACCATATTAGGTCATATTAAAAATTGTATATGATAATGGGGCCAAGAGTTAAAATATGTGAACTACTCTGAAATAGTAATCTCACATATGAAAATAGAAAACATGAGCAAATCCAAGAGTCAATCATTGATTATAAGGTTGCAATAACAGCATACGAGAAAGGGTTAAAAGAGTTTGATATGTTTAGTGCAAAAGAATGGAAACATTGGGCTGGGTGCAGTGGCTCACGCCTGTAATCCCAGCACTCTGGGAGGCCGAAGCAGGCAGATCACAAGGTCAGGAGATCGAGACAATCCTGACCAGCACGGTAAAACCCCGTCTCTACTAAAAGTACAAAAAAAAAAAAAAAATAGCCAGGTGTGGTGACGGCCGCCTGTAGTCACAGCTACTCAGGAGGCTGAGGCAGGAGAATGGCATGAACCCAGGAGGCGGAGATTGGCAGTGAGCCCACATAGTGCCACTGCACTCCAGCCTGGGCAACAGAGTGAGACTCCATCTCAAAAAAAAAAAAAAAAAAAGAGTGGAAACATTGGTAAGTAAGGAAGTGTATAAATTATATACAATTTTTATATGTGTTGTAAAATTGAATGATGGTAAGATTTACAATTCTATTAAAAGGACTTTTTAAAAGAAATAAATTAAGAAGCTGTCTTGTGATGGCAAAAGTAGGAACTCCTTTGCCAATAAGATAAAATGCAAGAATTCCAAAGAAGGTCATAAAATTTTCACCCTTAGAAACTGGAAAAAACACGTATAGCTGTTTTTTCTGGACAATGTAGTTATTCTGTAGCCTTTGGTCAAGGAAGCTGTAGCAGAAACACCCTCAAGTCCCTTCTAAAAAACAATTTTTAAGTTTGTATATTAAATATATGTTCTGAATACTCCATCTACAAATTGATAAAAGATCAGAAAGCACATTAAATCTTCATACATTTGCTATTAATTCAAGGATATATTCTGAATGCATAATACTTTTTATTTTCTTTTTAAGTTCTGGTTTTTAAGTTCCAGGATATATGTGCAGAATGTGCAGGTTTGTTCCATAGGTATACGTGTGCCATGGTGGTTTCTTGCACCTATTGACCCATCCTCCAAGTTCCCTCCCCTTGTTCCCCATCCCTCAATAGGCCCTGGTGTGTGTTGTTCCCCTCCCTGTGTCCACGTGTTCTCATTGTTCAACTCCTACTTATGAGTGAGAACATGCAGTGTTTGGTTTTCTGTTTCTGTGTTAGTTTGCTAGGATGATGGCTTCTAGCTTCATCCGTGTCCCTGCAAAGAACATGATCTCATTGTTTTTTATGGCTGCATAGTATTCCATGGTGTATATGTACCGCATTTTCTTTATCTTTCTTTATCTTCAACTTCTTCTTGGTTTAGTCTTGGGACGGTGTATGTGTCTAGGAATTTATCCATTTATTCTAGATTTTCTAGTTTATTTGCATAGAGGTGTTTATAGTATTCTCTGATGGTAGTTTGTATTTCTGTGGGATCAGTGGTGATATCCCCTTTATCATTTTTTATTGTGTCTGTTTGATTCTTCTCTCTTTTCTTCTTTATTAGTCTGGCTAGTGGTCTACCTATTTTGTTAATTTTTTCAAAAAACCAGCACCTGGATTCACTGATTTTTTGGAGGGTTTTTCATGTCTCTATCTCCTTCCATAAAACTTTTAAAACCCATCATTACTTTCTTCTTTAAAAAATTATTTGTATCCTTTTTTTAGCCAACCATGTAATTGTCATCTTTCCTATTACAACATTCCTGAACACATATTTTGAACAACAAATGTAAGTCAGATACCAAGTCAGGTGTTAAAGTTATAGAAGTTAAAAAAACAGATAAGTTTCTACTCCCATGTATCTGACAGCTAATTGGGAGAAAGAGTGATTGTGTAAATGATTAATTTAACTGTTAGCAACAACAGTGACTAAAGAGCAAAATGTTTACTAAAATATTTTAGTAAAGATTAGGGTTATGTATTGATGGAAAACTTTTTAAAATATACTAACAACAGTACAAAATAGAGAACACTGACACAGTAAAACTTGGCCATGGCATTCAAGGAATGTGTTTTCAAGATTTTTTTTTTCTTTTTTGATACAGACTCTCACTCTGTCACCTTGGCTGGAGTGCAATGACATGATCTCAGTTCACTGCAACCTTCAACCTCCCAAGTTCAAGTGATTCTCCTGTCTCAGCCTCCTGAGTAGCTGGGCTAACAGGCACGTGCTACCAAGCCTGGCTAATTTTTGTGTTTTTAATAGGGACAGGGTTTCATGTTTTTAATTTCTTGCAGAACAGTTGTCCTGCAAATTATGCTTAATATTAAAAAATGATTTTATTTGCAAAATATATTTCTAAAGACTATGTAAAATAATGGCTTTTTAGAGAAAGTGAGTTCACTGCCCATTTGGATACAATATTTTAATCCTCTATTTTATTACATTTCCATTATCGGCTTCTATATGGAATTCTAGGAAGTTTGACAGCTCTTATTTGGCAACTATCTGCATGCACAATCAGTTGAACTGGCTGAGAAATGGAGAAATGGTCAATTTAGTTGAAATGTTTTCATATAAAATTTAAAATTGATTAATTATATTTATTTTTTGGTGAAGTGAATTGTAGGCACCATTTCAGACAGGTATTAAATTGGAGTGGATCAACAGCTTTGACTCCTATGGGCAGGAGGAAGATTAATGGAAAGAGTCTAAGTTTAGAGAAAGGAAGGCTAAATGGAGAGGAGAGAATCATTTTTAACAGCCATATATTTTCATATGACTCAATATTTATGAAAAATTTAAAAAATAACTCATTTAAGTTTCTAGGAGGCAGGTGGAATAAAGGCAGACTAACATATTTGGATTGAAGGCATAAGAGCAGGGGCTCTCACCTTTGGCATGCATCAGAATATTGATACAACCCAGCATGCTGGGCCCCACTCCAAAGTTTCTGATTAAGTAGGTCTGGGATAAAACTCTAAAACTTGCATTTCTAATAAATCCCTAGCTGCTGCTGCTGCTGCTGCTGTTGCTGGTCCAGAGACCACCTGTGAGAGGCATTAACATGGAGTATGTCTGGTTAAAAGTAGCAGCATTTGAGTATAAAAGGTCATCAGAACAATAAAAGCAATAATACTAACAGTAGTGGCAGAGGTAAAGCAATGGCAAAATAATAAGCTACAGAGAAATGTATTTTGTTGAATGCTATTTCTCTAGCTGATTCATAGCCACAGTCCTTCTGCCTTTAAGTGACCATGTTCTATTACAGGTGATAATCATGACACCATAAGCTGCATGAGGCCAGAGAGTTTGTCTGTGTTGATCAACGCTGTATCTGTGATAACCTTCTTGATTGCATAGTTTACTCAATCCACAGGCTGGCCAATGATCAGATCCTGAGTCTCAGGAATCTGAACTGAGAGGCAGAAACAGAGCATGCCTGTCTACAGTAGACACTGGAACAATGAAGTGAATGAGTAAATGGATTCAGCCAAAATTATGAGACAGTGAAAATTATGAGTAAACAAGGGAGTCGGTAGTAGAAAGGAGAATAGAGCTGAGAGGATACAACAACATCCTTGAAGGCAACTGGTCTGTTTCAGATGACTTCCCTGTGCCACTGAAGGTAGCTTTATTTTGTTTCCTCTTGGGATTCTGATGAGATTTTTCAGTATCTGCACAATAACTCTTACCTCTCTCTCCTTTTTTGGAGATAGATTGGATATGATTCTTCTTCGCGCTACTAAAAAGCCCAGGCTAGGACTTAAAGACTTATTTCCCTGGAATAATTTGCAAACAGCCACTTGTAAAGGTCTTAGAAGCCAGGTTCAGTTAAAACCAAATTTCCTCTGCCACAGAGGAACAGGCTGTCTAAGAAAGTTTCTCTGGGATAAAGATATCCTGCTTTAACTGTCCATGTCTGCCAATTTCAGGGAATAGCTAGGGGAGGATATTACTTTAGAAGATAGCGCTCTTGATATAGTGGTTCCATCACACATACAACTGAAAATAAATAAATAAATAAATAAATAAATAAATAAATAAATAAAAAGGAAGTTCAGAAAGCCTTCCTATGGCTGCCACTACCTGTAGCCCTGAAAGTATATCTGGGATTCTGAGTGCCTCTTGGCAGGAGCCAGAGCAAGGTGGGAAAAGATATTGACTCTCAATTACATTATACAAATGCAGTTTATAGTCAGTTTTGGAAAATATCAGGCCTTTTTCTATTTTCAAGTTGAAACTCTCAACTGAAAAAAATCACAAAAAAATGCAAAAGTATCTCTGTAACCAAAAATCATCCTTCAAGGTAAAGTTTTCCATTTTAAATTAAGGTTAAGAAAACTCTGTGCTTTTAGATTTAAAAAAATAGAAATCCTTTTCAAATGTTTCCTTTGAAAGGTTTTCATTTCAAATATACGTATCCAATTGAACTAAAATGTCAGACTTATGAATATGCTGGGTTATCTTTTGGCATTGTATTT
Source organism: Homo sapiens (assembly GCF_000001405.40). NCBI lineage: Eukaryota > Metazoa > Chordata > Mammalia > Primates > Hominidae > Homo > Homo sapiens. Next base: position 83,562,032 of record NC_000007.14, on the reverse strand, counting down.
TACATATTGTGTACATAAGAATCTGATATAAGCCATTGAATACATGCGCCCTCCAAATCAATAGTGAATTTAGTGGGGATTTCGTGTCTGATTTTCTTTCAAAAGGGCTTCTGTGGCCAAAAACTCTTTGAAAACTCAATCTTTAGATATTATGTAGTATACTTTCACACTCATCTAAGCTAAAAAGTCTGATTTTCAAGATTTCTATGTGTTAACTATAAAATTAGTGATGCTATTGATGTGAGTAAAAGGATATCTTAAAATATCATTTTCATTAGCATATTGTTGAAATACTTACTTCAAATGAATAGACTAACTTTTAAAGTCAGTTTGTCATCATGCAGCTACAGGTAAGATTGACATACAATTTTCAAAGTGAATTGAAAATGCTATCAGCTGGTTACTATGAGAGCGCATGAGATTATGTAATAGGGCACTCCTGAAAAGGGCAGATGCTTAAAAAAAGCAGCTTAACTCAAAGCAGCCATTGATTCCTTGAGGGCAGGGTGTTAAGAACAAAGTTTTCTGCCAGAGGAAAGAATATGATTAGGGATTAGGAGGCAGGCAAAAAACAGGAAAGAGAAAATTGAAGTGTTTGCAAAAACCTGAAAAGTCTACAGTGAAATTATTTTGGAAGGAAGATAGGTAGTCAGATTTCTAAGGCAATCAGGAGAACCCTATGGGAAACATTTTATCGCACATGGAGAATAGAAAGATGAATAATTTTTTACTTGAATAAACTCAAGTATTATTTTGTGGAAAATTAAATCTCACTTAAAACAGATGATTATAGAGATCAAGGTGCGTTTTCATATCCTTCATGTTGAAAAACCGTGACTAATTCTCAACTCATTAACTTATTTTCACATTGGCAATATTGTGCACAATTTGATAAATACAAATTCCTGAAAACCTGTTGGTTTTTTAAATCCTGTTAGAACATTTGTACTTTCTTAGCACTATTAATGGATGCAAAAAAAGGGCACTAACATTTCCATGATCACATATTATAATGTCTTCAGGATTTCTAAATTAGTAAATTCCAGGAAATTGAATCATAGTTTATGATTTTTTTAAACTATGCTTTGGAAAGCAGTGTTATATAATTGACAAAATAAGTTTACCCCAATCCATATGTTTGAAAATCTGTTACGTACTTTATAAAGATATTTAGCATGAAAGTTTAAAAAGTATGATAAGTATGATAACCTATACTCAAAGCAATCTTCTGAAAAATTATTTTCTGATGGCAAAGTTCATTGGCACCTAGATCACACAGTTTATTAAAAATGGAGACTATTTTTAAAGGATTTTTAAGACTAAAATATCATCTCATATAAATATTAAGTAAACATTTATCAAAATTTATTTAGCTTACTAAAGAGAAAGCTAGTAAGATGATATAATCAGTTCAAAGGAGAATTCTAAGAACCACACATGCATAGGAAATAAGGAATTTTGAAATGAATTTACAAATAGATGCAAAACATATCTATCCACAAGGCAATAATAAATTCTATATAATCACACAAAATTTCTCTGAATTTCTATGGATAAGAATAATTAGCATTATCAGTTTTCATCATGAAAAGCAGTTAAATGAGCTGGACAAGACACCACTATGTTTTTATAAAACAACTGTTTTGTTTTGAGCAGTTTTAGGTTCACAGCAAAATTAAGAGGAAGATATGGAGATTTCTCATATACTCCCCGCCCCTACACATGCGTAGCCTCCCGTCTTATCAATATTCTTCACCAGAGTTGTACATTTGTTAAAACTGATGAACCTACATTGACACATCAATGACACCCAAAGTTCATAGTTTACATTAGGGTTTACTCTTGCTGGTGTATATTCGGTGAGTTTGGACAAATGCATGATGACATATATCCATTGTGTTAGTGTCATATAGAGTATTTTCACTTCCCTAAACGTCCTCTTTTGTCCATTTATTCATCCCCAGCCCGCCCACCACTAGTCCCTGGCAACTATAGATCTTTTTATTGTGTTCTTTGTTTTGCCTTTCCCAAAATGCCATATAGTTGGAATCATACAGTGTGTAGCCTTTTCAGATTGGCTTCTTTCACATGCACTTAAGATTCCTCCATGTGTTTTCATGCCTTGATAGGTTTGTTGTTGTTGCTGTTGTTTGGTAACATTCTATTGTCAGGATGCAGCATAGTTATTTTATCCACTCATCTACTGAAGGATATTTTGATTGTTTCCAAGTTTTAGCAATTCTGAATACACCTATAAACATCAGTGTGCAGGGTTTTGTGTGGATATACATTTTCAGTTCCTTTGTGTAAATACCAAGGAGTGCAATTGCTGGATTGTACGGTAAGAATGTGTTTAGTTTTGTAAGGAACTGCCAAATTGTCATCCAAAGTGGCTGTCTCATTTTGCCTTCCCACCGACAATGAATTAGAGTTCCTGTTGCTTCACATCCTCACCAGCATTTGATATTGTCAGTACTCTGGATTTTGGCCATTCTAAGAGGTGTGTAGCAGTATCCTATTGCTTCAGTTTGCATTTCCCTAGTGACAGATGATATTGAGCATCTTTTCGTTTGCTCATTTGTCATCTGAATACCTTCTTCTGTGAGATGTCTGACACTACTATTTTTTCTCCTGTTTTAAAAGTGTTATTTCCTGACAGTAATAATACTTAGAATATTAAAACAAATATGGATATAACAAAACATTTAAGATGACTTCCATTCCATGACTTTTTATGGTTGCACAATGCTGGAGCCTTGTATATATCACCTTTCAATCTTGTCAAATACCATTTGTTAAAGCTATCCTTCTATGGGAGAAGAAACCAAGGCTCAAGCAGGTAGCTTTGTTGAACTCCTGCAGTTAGCAACTGTCCTAGCAAAGATTTGGACTTGTTCTCAGCTCCAAGTCCAATACTGTTCCTGCTACATCAAAATTGATCCAGTCAAAGATGAGCACCAATTATTGGTGCTTTATTTATAATTAACACAACACCAAAATGGTTTTTAATCTTCAGCCAACAATGTAGCTGGTTAAAATTATACTCTATTTGAAATGTATGGACTGAAAAAGGTCAAAAAACATCATTTTCAATTGATGAGTTAGCTAGAGTTAGCCATTTAGGGAAAGCAAAAAGGGGAGCCAAATTTAAATCTTATATTTGATTTATATTGTATTTCTTTTTTCACTAAAATATTTGTATTTGTTAAAAATTTGATTTTTGTAGTGACATGACACACTATTAGTTATTCCTAATAACACTTAAGGTAGGAGTTTTAATCTTTCAATATTAGGTTGTTAAAGTAGTTTTATTATCTCATTTTATTGTGGTTTGTCATTGTAGCATTGCTTCTTAGCCATATTTTTATTAAAATATACTAAAATAGTTGGTTCATATCTGAAATGTAACCATAATTTTAAAAATGCATCTGGAATACATCTTTACTGATATTAATAGGTCTATTATTTTCTTCTTCCTTCATAATTTGACAACTGTACTTTTTGAAAAATGGATGTTTATTTCTGTTTTCCTCCTGAAATGACACAGTTTAAATTTTAAAGAGAAATTACTAAATAAATGCTCTTTAAGCACCCCTGTATTTGTCTTTTGAAACCAAATACCAGTAGCACAGTAGACCACAAAATTATTCAGTAAAACCTTGGTGCCAGTTCCTGTAAATTCAAACAATATGAAAAATGTGCATTTTGAAAAATCAAGGCTGGTATGTTTTTCACATACATAATTATTTGAATCATTGCTCACAGCAATGTGGCAGAACATGGCATCTTTGGTGATTTCTTCCAATCTTTGTCTTTAAAAAATATATATACATCTCTAGTTATCTCAAGGCTTTGCCCCACCATTTACTGAAATTGTTTACTACATTGTATCTCCTCTCCCAGATTGTTAAATTACAAATATTATGAAAGCTATTATTAGGAATATATGTTACACAACAAATCAATGGATAACTTAATTGGAAAAGGTCCTCAAATGTTTCCTATAACCTGGGTACACAGAAGGAACATTTATCCTTCTGGATCATGTTCAAATAGAAAAGCCATTGTACTGGGTTTTACAGCCTTTCTTGGGCATATGTGCAAATGAGAAGCTAAATATTTTGGAAGCCTATTGTGTACATTTTGGACAAAGTGCTAATGTCCTATACCTAGGAATAAAACTGAAGTTTGCTTCCTACCTTCTTCCAAGTATAATTCTTAGAGCAATTCTTAGAGGGATGCACATTGAGCTAGCTTGCTGTTAGGCTGAAGTCGAGACATAAGCTGCTGATAATAGTAATCTCATTCTTCTAAAGAATCGGTAGGAAGGAGGAATATATTTTCTTTGTGTAATTGTTAGCATCTTTACTGACATAATATAGAGTTAAATTCATTGTTTTAATTTATAAAAACCTGTGAAATGATTTTTTGAATACCTTGTCAAATATTAACTAATGCTTTGTTTCAAATAACTAATATTAGTTTAAAATATTAATGAAAAGATCTTTGGCAACTGGTTTTCCTTTAATATTTTTACATTGGAAATAATGAACACTGAAACGTTTATAAATTAATTTTAGTTGTTTTACCATAATAAGAGCATTGATTAAAATAAAATCCTATTTTGATGTGCTTTGTTAATTAGTTTGAATTATTGATCAATATTTATGTTGATACTTATTTTTAATAAGCATAATAGTAATAATTTTTATTTTATATATTTTTATAGATTCATATAAATTCCTTTTATCTGTACAGTAAAAATTAGTAAGGTTCATTTTAATGCCAAAGCATTTAATTGAAGAAATATTATAAACATACTTGTTACATAAATTTAGTAATAAAAAGAATATTCATTTTCAAATAAAATACTTTGACATAAGACTTTTGATCTTCAATATATTATATTCCTTACATTTATTCAGTAATTTATAAACTCTGTAAATGTCTTAATTGGTTTATGCTGCTATAACAAAATACCTGAGACTGGGTAATTTATAAAGAACATGAATTTGTTTCTTAGTTCTGGAGGCTGGAAGTCAAAGATCAAACTCTGGCAGGTTTGGTGTCTGGTAAGATCCTAGTCTTTGCTTCTGAGATGGTGCCTTGAACACTGTGTCCTCACAAGTCCAAGGTGAGGATGGAAAGGTAAAAGGGCCAGAAAGGGCCTGACTTGTCTCCTCCAGCCCTTTTGTAAGGCTCGAATCCTTTCATGAGGGCAGAACCCTCATGACCTAATGACCTCCCAATGACCAGACCTCTTAATACTGTTTCACTGGGGATTAAGTTTCAACGTAAGTTTTGGAGAGGACACAAACATTCAAGCTGTAGCAGTAAACTAATTCCTAAGTCAGATTATAAATTTGCATCTTATAATAATTTACTTGAGATCCCCAGATGGCAATCTACACCATTATGGCATGCCTGCTACTTGTACCTACAAATGCTTCCACTGTTTATACTATATTAAACAAGATATAGTCATTAAAATTGACAACTTGTTCCCTGGCCCCTCAATGTCTAGGTCTTTTTCTAAACACAATTTTCTCACGAAATGTAACATACATGATAGCATGAATCATTGTCTGTTTTGTTCACTAATGTATTATGACTCTTAAAACGACCTGGCATTTAATAAGGGGCTCCATATATAGCTATTGAATGAATGACTAATACTAGCAGTAGGCATTTAGTGTTGATAATACAGGTTATTTGCATGGACATATGTAATATCTATGCAAAGTCGTTGGCAACCTGGAAAGCATATTTTCCAAAGATATATGCTAAAGTATTATCAATAGTTATCTCAAAAAGCGAAGGTAAGTGCAGGCAGTGGAGGGAGAATGTCCTTTTTAAAAAACAATTTCATGTTACCTACATGAAAATCAGTAAGTTTCTGAACATATAAAAACGTATAACATGTTCATAAACATATAATGTAAACATATAAATGTTTATGAACATTTCCTGTTATACTGGAAAGAGAACAGAGAAAATGCAGTTAGTGCTTTCTCATTTATTAGAATTTGGATTAAGGGCAATTATATGGAGCAAAAACAGAAGTTAAAAAGTATACAGTTTGAAAAAGAGGTTGTCAGAGAAAATGCTGGAGGTATGACATAGACCCTCTCTGTGTGGAAATTCCTTAGTAAGGTCTCCACATTCTTAGTTCTTAAATGTCCATGGATGAGAGGATAATAATGAGCTGACCCATGCTACCGAGCATGAATTTGAATCAAGGAACAGCAAATAGAATTTGCTAAAGTATAAAATAAATTAGTATGTTCAGAGAAAAAAATTAGAAGGCATCATGAAGATGCCAGACAGATCCAATTGTTAGAAAGAATTAAGCTGGAGCATTTCTAGGTACCTTTTTTCTCCAAATATTAGGAGTCTATTGATTTGCTGATTTGTAACAAGAGATGGGCAAATCGCAATCACACTTTACCTCAACTTCTTTAAGCCTCATTGTAGACATGGAAAATACGTTTGCCTCTAGTGGGAGAAAGTCGTAGATGAATAGCATAGAGAGTAGGAATAATCCAGGATGTGACAATTTTATCTAATAAAACACATGCTTTTATCTTTATGGTGAGACAATTAAATGCTGTGACTTCTACCATGTGCTTTATTTTTTAAGCCTATTTAAATGGGAGAGAGAAAAAAGAAAAAAGTAACACATCAATTCACTTCAACATTTAAAAAATAGATTTAGCGGCACAAGTGCAGTTGTGTTACATGCATATATTATGTACTGGTGACGTCTGGGACACTTCAACTTTTTGATGCAGAAAGCAAGCTAGCATTAGATGGATTTACTTCTATATCTCAGGTCAGGGCGAATTTTTATTTTTTATTTTTGGGTAAAATGCATTTTTGGTCTACAATAAATAATAGTAAGAAAAGCAGTACTTAATGAAATTCAAGACTGCACCTATTCTCTATAATGAATAATTCCTGCACTTATAGTTAAATTGTTTCTATTAAATGGAATTGTTTCTATGAAAAGCACAAGTCTTTTTTTTTTCCATTTTTATTTATTTATTTATTTATTTTGAGACGGAGTCTCGCTCTGTCACCCAGGCTGGAGTACAGTGGTCTGATCTTGGCTCACTGCAAGCTCCGCCTCCCGGGTTCACGCCATTCTCCTGCCTCTACCTCCCTAGTAGCTGGGACTACAGGCGCCCGCCACCACGCCAGGCTAATTTTTTCCTATTTTTAGTAGAGACGGGGTTTCACCGTGTTAGCCAAGATGGTCTCCATCTCCTGACCTCGTGATCTGCCCACCTCGGCCTCCCAAAGTGCTGGGATTACAGTAGTGAGCCACCGCACCCAGAGAGAAGCACATGTCTTTAAAGTGTTAGTAATCTTGTTATAAAGTAAATGTTCTGTAATTGAAAAGAAAAATTCAAAGGAGACTTTTTCTTCTTTTGATATTACATTACTACATTTGGAAACTGTTGACATACTCTTTTGTACACTGGGTTAAAAAAAACTGCCCCTATCATCTTTTCCTCTCCAATTTTGTTGAATGTGTCTACATCTCTAGAACGGTCAGAAAGATTGTCTTAGCTCTATGTAGAAATCGAAAGCAGTATTGCGTGCACGTATCTTTACCCAAAGGCCTGGAGGAATACGAGTGCTACCTCATTTCAAGTCATTTGGTTTCAACTTTTCTATGAGGACTCATTTTTCCATTGCTTACTATTTGAAGTTTGAAAATCCTGATTTAAGATTACTGTTGAAATTTTAGAAGATAGTATGGATTTTGTATACCAATTTTTAAATAGAAAATCAGTAATTGTTACTTTGGTCATGAAATGTAAAAATATAAAAAGGTGAAAATCCATGTACAATGTACATGAATTTAGGGTAAACACATGCTGTAAACAACTCATTATACATATTTCTTATTTTAAATATGTAACTATGAGAATATATTCTTAACATATTAAATTATTTTAGCATTACATACTTAAGTATGCAGCAATGAAATACTTCAGATAAATGGGCTTTTGAATTAATAATTCAGCAAATTTTTTAAAAAGTTAAAAAGGATAGGGAAAGCAATTAGAGCAAAATCTTGATAACATTTAGATTTGAATGATAGGTGAGTATAGATTCATAGTACTAGCCTCTCAACTCTTGCATATTTTTGGAAATTTACATAATAAAAATATAAACATTTTGACCTAACAGAGACACATAGCTCTTCAATGAGTCACTGAAGATTTTTTTATTTGACTTATGAACTAGGATTGACAACTTTGTCTATGTGAAAATAAACTTACAAAAATATAAAAAGAAAATCTTAAACAAAATGTTAATTTTTGAACAAAAATAATGCCAAAACCTTTTAGTTAACCCTAGTTAGTTGTTTTGAGGTCCCTAAAAGCCCCAAAGTTAATTCATTCATTTATTCATCCGTATATATTCAACAAGCATGTATTGATTACTCACCGAGGCCAGATATTAAGCTAAGGTTTGGTAATATAAAATTGAAGAAAGCATGGTACTAGCCCTGAGGAAATTAACTGGAAGAAACCAGATGGATGAGTGTGCAAATGTATGTGTATATATGTATCTATATCTGTTTGTATATATGTATAAAATTGTAAGCATGTGGATGAGTACAAAGTGGAGGACTGTAGGGAGTTATGTGTGGGTGCATAGAGGAGGAAAGAGACTAAAATTGTGAGTGTGGATGACTGCTAAGTGGAGGACTGTAGGGAGTTATACATGGATGTATGGAGGAGGAAAGAGACTATGCAGTATTGGGGGAACCCACCCCCAATATTTCAACGTAGGTTCTTTCTATTTTCCATAAGTGTCGGCTGGCCGAGAAATAAAGAGAGACAGTATAAAGAGAGGAATTTTACCGATGGGCCGCCAGGGGTGACATCACCTATCGGTAGGACTGTGATGCCCACCTGAGCCCCAAGCCAGCAAGTTTTTATTAAGGTTTTCAAAAGGGGAGAGGGTATAAGAACAGGAGTAGGTACAAAGATCACATGCTTCAAAGGGCAAAAAGCAGAACTACTAATAAGAGTCTAACAAAGATCACATGCTTCTGAGGGAACAGGACAAAGGGCAAAAGCAGAACTACTGATAAGGGTCCAACAAAGATCACAAGGCAAAGGGCAAAAGCAGAACTACTGATAAGGTTCTATGTTCAGCAGTGCATGTATTGTCTTGATAAATATCTTAAATAACAGAAAACAGGGTTCAAGAGCAGAGAACCAGTCTGACCACAAATTTGCCAGGGTGGAGTTTTTCGCCACCCTAGTAAGCCTGAGGGTACTGCAGGATACCAGGGCGTGTATCTCAGTCCTTATCTCAACCGCATAAGACAGATATTCCCAGAGCAGCCATTTATAGACCTCCCACCAGGAATGCATTCCTTTCCCAGGGTATTAATAATAATATTTCTTGCTAGGAAAAGAATTTAGCAATATCTTCCCTACTTGCACATCTGTTTATAGGCTCTCTGCAAGAAGAAAAATATGGCTCTTTTTGCCCAACCCCGCGGTTAGTCAGACCTTGTGGTTATCTTCTCTTGTTCCCTAAAAATTGCTGTTATTCTGTTCTTTTTCAAGGTGCACTGATTTCATATTGTTCAAACACACATGCTTTACAATCAATTTGTACAGTTAACACAATTATCACAGTGGTCTTGAGGTGATGTACATCCTCAGCATATCAAGATAACAGGATTAAGAGATAAAAGTAAAGACAGGCATAAGAAATTATAAAAGTATTATTTGGGAACTGATAAATGTCCATGAAATCTTCACAATTTATGTTCCTCTGCCGTGGCTCCAGCCGGTCCCTCTGTTCAGGGTCCCTGACTTCCTGCAACAATGTAGGACGGCAGTAACCTAAGCAGAGACAGAAGCTATTCCTGATAAAATAATCTGTGCAAGTTTATGAAAGAGTGAGGGAGTATATATGTTTTTCAGGGTCAGAACTATGGTAGGGCATTAAAAGTGCATGGTATTTGCAGACTTTTGAGTCATTTTTCATGTATAATACAAAGACATTGTGACAATTAAAAATATGTCTAATATAAAATATAATGTGTAGATGTTAGAGTGCGTCTAATAGTGGCAACACTGAGGTTTTTTATGTTCTATATTTGGAGACATTTTTGATTGTCACATCTGGGAGCTTTCTATTGGCAACTAGCAGGTAGAGGCTAGGGATGCTGCTACATGTCCTGCAAAGCACAAGATAGCCCCACACCCCAAAAAATTATCTGAGCCAAAATGTCAATAGTGTTGAGCCTGGGAAAGTCTGCTCCAAGATTATTATTGATCATATTTTATAAAAAGTCTAAGGAAAATGATGCTCTGAGTTCTGTTATTGTTCATGTATTCAAATGTTTTAGTATGAGTAAATTATACTATAAATCATAAAACATATATACCTGTGAGCCTATTTCACACTTAAAGATCTAAAACCTTCACTGTTCTGTGACATCTACCTGTGTGTTCTCTCTCTGTCTCATCCTCCTCATTCCTTTCAAGGGGTATCACTATCTTGAATTTTATATTTATCACTCTTATTGTTTTGTTTAAAAAATTGTTCTTAAATAGTTTGATTTTGCTTGGTTTGGTACTTTATAATAGCAGTATTATCATCTAAGTGTTTTTCAGCTATGTGTTTTTATTGCAATCAATATGAAGTTTTGAAGACTCTTTCACACTGTTGAGAGTAGCTATATTTTGTTATTTTTCCAACATGGTGATTATATGCCAGATTCGTAAGTCCATAAAGCCACTTTTCTTTCGATGAACATTTAGGCTGTTTTCAGTATTTTTTTTGGTATTAGAAACATGTAAAACCATTTCTTTAGTGTGTATACTTAGAAGTGAATTGGTAGGTCATAGGGTATATGGATGAATGTTTAGATAATGCCACACTTTTCCAAAGGCTATTACAACTTATAGTTCTACCAACAGACAATGTGAGTATTCCCCTTCATCCACATGTTTACCAACACTTAGTACTTTGATTTTTAATTTTTTTCCAATCTGATGCATCTAAAATAACTCATTGAGGTTTTAATTATGTTATACTTTTATTACTAATGAGGTTGAAAACTTTTTATATGTGTATTGAAATGTATGTCCTCTTTTGTGAAAGTCTAATCATATTTCTTGCCTATTTTTTCTAGTGGGATGTTTGCATTTTTCTTGTTGATGTGTGGGACTTCTCATATATTTACCAACTCTCTTGTACAGTGTCACAGATTAATGATTCCAGGAAATGGTTGGAGTTTCTCTTGGTCATCTTATCAGAACTTCTTGATATAGAAATGAATTTTCTGATGAGTAGATGATAAAATAATGGATACAATAATAGAGTAAGATGCTAAAACTGGTGGATATTCTGTAATATAAACAAAACAAAACAAAAATTCTCTTTAAATGGCATGTGTTTTCTCAATAAATGAATGTCAGATAATAGCTTCTCATTTACATTTAGAATGTATTATTTTGTTTACCTTTTGAAAAAGATATGCCACAATTTTTTAAAAATCAACAATGGTGAAGAAGGAAGAGCAACAACCCTAATTTCCCCTAATTGGAGCAGACTCATATAAAATGTTGAAATGAAGTAATGCCTGTTCATGCCTTACTATATATGTCAGCATTCCACTGATATCACTGGGTGCCACACACATGCACAGGAATTCAGAAGTTAGCTTACTGGAAATGGATAGAATAACCATTGTAAGATCATAACAATTTGATTAGTTCTTCAAAACAAGGATTTGGATCAACACAAAATACCATCTGTCTAAAGCAATTGTGAATGTGGGTGTTATCCGTTCTCTAAATGATAGGCGACCTATATAGTCAATACCATATGTGTTTAATATCGAAGCAGATTAGATGAATGAAGACAGTTGATTTTCTTGGCTTACGATGTTTCTTTAACATATTTTTTTGTGGATTGATTTGTGTAACCTCAAATGGCGTAAATAAAACTGTGGTTTTTACATTGCAAAAATTATGGACTAAAGAAATTTACTGCAGGATAGACGAGGGTATTTTGACATGCCAATGTTAATAATGTGGATGCTTTAACCTAGAAAAAGATTGATTTTGGAAATGAAACTCCTAAATATGATTATTTGCCATTCATTGCTGAGCTGAAACTGTTACGGCCATAAATGCACAGAAGAAAAGGGAAGAAAGAATGGGTTTAACCTCATAATGATTAGATTATGGAAAAATGAAAAAGCACTCATGTTGCTGACACTCATGAGGAAGCCTAGAACTTTTAGTATACTTGTCTGGGATCTAGCAGAAGATGAAAATAAGTGGATAAAGTCATTTTTACATGTTTACATTTTACTGTTTATCTTTAATAGTAATATTGGTGAAAATGTCCTATGGATATAGAATTAAGAAAAGGTGAGTTAGACATTAGATACAGAGACAATAATGATTCAATGGAAATTGATGAAATACCTAAATATGAGCACAGGTTCCATTCAATTTTAATGATACGAATGGGATAAAAGTATATTTAAAATGAAAAATAAATCATTAAAGAAGCCATGTTTGTGTGTAAAGGAAAATAGTGACAAATGTCAAAGACAGGAAAAGCATAATTGGATTTGATAATCAGACTAATAGATGGTAAAACCAGGACTCTAACTCAGGTCCATCTGATGGATGGGCTGTTCCATTTATAATTAGCAAATAGCCTTTATGATATGTAAAAGTTGTGCTTGAATAGAGATAAGAGTAGTGCTAGTTTGTTGAGACGTTAAATGAGATAACATGTTAAAGTATAATGTCAATTAAAGAGCTATACAAATATAAATTGGTATAAAATGTTGATATGAATGTTTCCATATAACTCAAAAATTGAGTTTTCATTATGTAGAATTCCAGTATCAAAAGTTTCTATTTGGTTGGAGATGAAATATTGTTTAATATGAGATATTAGTTTCTGTTTTGTCCTTCTTATTTGCATACTTGCAAATTCCCAGATGGTAGCCAGGCCTTTGGGCTTCTTTGTCTTTGGAGCATATGTTGTGATAGGCTGAAAGAGAAAGTTGCTCGACTTCTTCCTGGATTTTGTTCTCTAAATCCTAAATGTTGAGAGTTTATGCCCAGAGGAGGAGAGGGAGGAATAGAATTTGTGAATAAGATAGGTCCTTATTGGACCCAGGTCAGAGTTGGAGCATCTGGGAGTAGTGAGGACTCTTATTTTCCTTGCTTCAGGCATGCAGTCATACCTAAGAGGAAAAGGCTGCGTGGTGTATTTAGGAACAACATATTAGTGTGCTAGGCACTAAGGCTGTCAGCCTCAGTAAGAATCTCAGTGCTCAAGTTTTAGAAACGGCAGAGAATTGACAACTTCTTAAGGGATTATGCAGCCTGGGACTACAAATATTAACAGAGGTGACCAGGTGGACCAAAGACCAAAGGATCCACTTACCAAATACTCTTTCTAGATATAAAAGACTCTAAAGATCTCTAGACTCTCTAGAGAGGGAAAAAAATCTCAATAATGCACACGACTGAAACTCCTCCTTTCTGTTTAGTGGAGTCTCAGAGTCATGTATAATTTAATTTAGATAAAGAGATAGTTTTTGGACTTAACTAGAATATTGTAATAGTCATACTTCTATAAAGAAGACAGGCCCTGGGGAAGTAGTAAATCACAGATCTTTATACCTTGACTTGTTTCTAGCAAGCCATGAAAAACTTGAAGTAGAGCTGTAAGGTGGAGAAAACTTAGTCATTAAATATTTTTAATTGCTTCCAAAATTATAGCATCAATGTGGGTGTCAGAAGTGATCAAGTTCATCTCAGTTCTCTGTTTCTCTAAAATCTCTTAAACATAGATGTGAAAATGGAGAAAGGAAAGGCCTCAGGATAGATACAGTGTGTTTAAAAGGAAGTAGAGAGAGATTAATCCTGGAACAAAGACAGGAAATAGAGGAGACTAAATCTCTGGTTCATGTGCCCACCTTGGTCTCACTGGAGCCAGATATGGAAGAGGATATTCTACTGAGGGTAGCCAAGTTCACCCCTCTGGATCTGGCAGCCTCATCCAGACTGGGAAATGCTACCAGTTCCTCATCTTGTGTATTTATTTTCTGTTGAAAGATTAATGATTACTCTAGCCTCAGAGTGGGTGAACTTTTTCATATGTCTGCTTTAGTAAGCCTACTGGAGTCTGGCTGCTTGCCTCACCTGGCAGTTAAAAGGCAGGATATACCCCTCTGAAACTCTGTGGGTGGAAGAAAATTTGCCTTGGCCTGTGTTTGCTTTAGACAAACCTGCTAACCAACATCTCTAGCAGCAACCAAGAGGTTTTGGCAAGCAGCCAATTTCCTAAGGTTAAACATAAATCTTTAGACATGATTTGATAAGAAAATAATAATACCATGCATTCATCATTTTGGTGGCAGTTATACCAAAGTATGTCTGACCACAGCGGACCAGCTCAACTAAACTACCACGAGTTACCTTCCTTATTTAGGCTGTGAAATGTGGCAGAATAAGTGATTCCATTGTTAAGGGAAATCACACCCATAAAGAAAATCAGAGTTGATGGTTTTCTTACATAGATTTGGGCTTCGTGTTAAAATTCTAGCTGCAATTTTGCCAACTGGAGAAAAATTAGAAAAGTTTATAGAGCAATGATTCTACTGACAGCATCTCGATGAACTAGTCTCAGATTGTTAGACTTGTGTGGTATTTATGGGTGAATAATATGAAGTCCCATCAACTGTGATGTCTGACTCTGCCTAAATGCTAATTAATAATAACTTAAAATATTACTTCATAAAGATTACCAAAAGGTGTTATTCAGAAATAAAATTATAATGTTTATTAAAATACACTTACGATGTTAAATCAGTATTCTAAGAAAATTTGGCTCCAGTTAACATTTGGTGGTTTTTCAAAACTCTCAGGATGTATCACATAGGCAATTGGTTGACATTTTAGGAAAGACAGCTTATTAGTTCATTCTCAGCCTTGCTTATCATTGCTTATCATTTTCAAATGTCACCATTCTTGCTTTATAATCAGACATTAGGCTTGCTTAATTTCATCTTAAATTTGTCATGCACTTTTTGTTTAAACAAGTTTGAGTAAGGTATCTTCATCAATAAAATTTTGATGTAGGATTTGGTAACATTTACTTCAACCAGTTTGCTCTGCCTTTTGACACAAATCAGCCATATCTTTATTGCTAAATAGATACGTACACTCATAACTTGAACGTGCACTGTGTTACTCATCATTAATTTATTTTCCATTGGAATATGAGACATAGTGATACAATGAACATGAAATCTTTTGTCTAGACTCAGTGGATAGCATGAAAAAGTTTAAGACACTAATAAGAAGTTATTTCAAAGTACATAATGGGGTATTGATACAAATCTAATGTTGATCCTAAAGTGAAATCTATATCAGCTAATGGAAGAAAAACAAATGAATGTAAGATTTGTCTTGAGTAAAATTGTTAACGTAGGAAATGCTGGTTATGTTTTGTCTTTGTCTTCTCCATCCTTGCCAGTTCTTACTCCCATGCTACCAAAAGACTGGACTCTGTGCCTTTGGCAGCCTCCTCCTCCCCACTAGCCCTAGAGCTAGTGGTCCCACATTCACTATATTCCCCTCCTTTCTCAACACACACACACACACACACACACACACACACACACACACACACCCCTTATTATAATGCATCTTAACATGTTTCATTAAGCACCTAGTATTCAACTAGTTAAGTTATCCAGTCATCTAGTAAGCCTATAGTTATTCAGGGTAATAAGATTTGTAAATATTGGTGTTTTAGTGGAACATTATAAGATACTGGTATAGATAATTCTATCAAACATGAAATTTTTTTCCCAAATAAAAGCCTGCAGTTTTTCTTTATCCAATCTTATCTAATACTGATACATTATAATACTTGTCATCGTGGGATAATATGTGTACATATATAATTATATATAAAATATAAAAATATAATATATAATATTTTTATATAATATGCCCCCATGTAGCTTATTCAATTATGGCTCCCATTTCTAAACATTCCTAGCACTAAATGAAGTATAAATGCACAATAAAATATATATAATATATAATATTTTTATCATATATGATATATAATATATAATGTTATATAGATATCCGTCATACTACTGGAGATATATATTATATATATATATAATACTGGATATATATTTGTATATATATACACACATTCTACTGGATACACACATAAACACACACACACATACATATACATCCATACAGTATACTACTGGAAAATGGTGCTAACATATAATTTTCTTCTGACTTATCCCCAGTAGAGGCAAGAGAGCCCTGTCAAATGTCCTTAACAGTTAAAAGTTCAAACTGCACAGCATTTCCCTAGTTTTGACTGGCACATCTGTTTGTTTTCTCCACTATTTCTTTTTTTTTTTTTTTTTCATTTCTCTTCAACAGTTTTGACCTAAATAGCTGGGGAATTATGCCAAGGAAGGGTATCACACTGGATATAAAACTACAAGTTTAATAAAGCCTTGAAAAGCTTTCAAGACAAATCATAGTAGGTATTTGGGGATTGGGGGAAGAATTTTGTAATTATGAAGTGCATGATAAAAATCACTGTGGCCTGGAAGGACTGACTCAAAATGGATAGGAATGGGACTGGGGGAAGGCATGGCCCCAGGAGTTTAGTTGATTTAAGAGGCTTGGAAGACAAAGGAAGAACATTTGCCATCTTAGCAAATGAACATAGTTCTAGATGGGCTATGCCCCCATGTAGCTTATTCAATTATGGCTCCCGTTTCTAAACATTCCTAGCACTGAATGAGGTATAAATGCACAATAAAATCACATCTTCAAATATTCATTTTGGAATCAACAAGTAATAGCTAACTTTCTGATTTAGCAAGGCCATCATATCCTAAGTTTCCTATTAATGTATTTCTGTTGCTGGTTCATTAATTTTGTTAAATTGTAGCATTTATTAGCTGGCACCAAATGTTTATGATTGAAAATGCTTTCATCTAGTAGTTTAATTATCCCTGTGAATTGGGAAAAATATTAAACATTCAATTTTTTCAGCAAATATATTTCGTTCAAGTCAAGGAAACCATTAAATCATGGCTTTAAATACACATGACTAATCCAAGGAGATATGAAGCAGTGGCATAAAGGGTCCCACCTAGATGAGATGGAAACAATATGAAACTACAGCCTAAGAATCCTACTGGCCTATGTTAAGAATGCCAACTTCAAGGCTTAGATTCAGAGATACTTGGAATCCCACCTCTACCTGTTTATAGGCAACATGTCTTTAGGGAAACGATGTAAATCATGACCTTCAGTTTTTCCCATAAATAAAATGAAAATATTATTCATATCTACAACATTGAGTTGTCACAATAGTTAAATAAGATAATGCATATAAATTACTTAGGAAAAAGCATACATGTGAGCACTTAGTGTCTGGCACTGTGCTAACCGGGATTTTGGAACACAATACAGCAGAAACCTTTCTCATCAGTGAAGCTTTCATGCCTCCCCAGTTGGATCTCTCTAGGCTTCTACAAATCATATGAGTAAATAGTCATTAACTTGGGGCTTAGAACTGATTATTATTTATAGGCATAGCTGCTCGAATGAAGAATTAACACCACTTCTAAACAACATTATTATTTGATATAATATATAATGGATTTGTTCAAGCACTGTACTTCTCAATTATCTGTAATTAAGGTTTTAAATAAATGGCGAAGTAAGGAAGAACACAATAAAAGAAATTTATATACTTCTCTTAAATGTATTTTAACAAGCCTGCCATTAAAAACCCACAAATAGTTAGTTATTTTCTACTGGGCAATGATACAGGTGCCTATTTCCAACATGTTTCAGGAAATCTCAGGAAATAATTTAATTGGTACTTTATATAATTTTTTTGTTAATGTCTTTATTCTAAGGGAACTTGCTCTGTGAAAGAGAAAAGAGAAAGTGACAATTTAGAAAGCATTTGTGGGAGGGAAGGTTACATCAAAAATATAATGAATAAAGAATGTTTGACCTAACTAAAGATTAAACGTTAAGGTAAACTGATCAAGAAGTGTGAAAATATAGTGCTATAAACATTACCTTGATATTGAGGTTTTAGCTTGTGTTTTCTCTTTTGCCTATACCTAGCAAAATGGGAGTATGTTCTCAATTATGAAGTCAACATTGTTCATTGTATTATTTTATAGGCATGCAGAACGAGCAATATAGAGTTATTCATCTGCTTAGGAAAAGAGCCATATTTAATCAATTTCCTCACCTCTTTCCATCTATATCATCTTCTGCCAGGAGGAATTCACTTTACCGTTTTAGTTACAATAGAGCTGTCTTAGCTTGTAGGGAATCAACAAGCATTTTTACAGTCATGTATCACATTATATTTCTAAAGCTATTAAATCACAAACTTCCCATTACAAAAGAGCTTGTTAAGAGAATGACATTAGATGGAACTTTACCATATTGAGAAATCAAAACACAACTTTGAGTTTATATGAGTCTGGACACATAGGCAGTCTCTCTGGAATCAGAGAAGTATTTTGGTACTTGCAACCCTTGCAAATTTGGCTTTTTGTCTTGTTTAATAAAAAAAAAGTTCATTCAGTTTTATTTTATTGCTGCTTTTGGAACAACATGTTAAACATTTAAGGGTATTCATGGCAATTAACTGCCTTAAGACTGAAGTTTGTGAGCTTTTATTTTCTTTTTGACTGACTTATCCAAATAACTTTACATCTGTTTTTTCTGCTTCCCCAGAACAAACATTTTGTCAATCCATGTGTTTTATCAGTGCAAGACTATCAATAATAATAACCATCACTTACTGAGCATACACTATAATAAAAAGAACTTAACACTATACCAGTCCTACAGGTAGGTATAATTAGGAAAAACTGAGGCCCATATTAACATAGTAAGTAACTTCCCTAAAGCCTTAAGACTAGTAAACTTTTTTTAGTCTGTACATATATAAAGCATCACACTTTTGTGGACTCACAAGCCACAAAAAGACTTTTGTTTAAAATTCTCTACTATCTTCCCTGATTACAGTATGAATTTATAACTTTAAGATGTGTTAAAAAGTTTTTCAAGATCTACCATGTAACAGTTATAGTGAATTAGAGGCAGAAATTTATCATGAAAGCAGATAAATTACTACCTAAACCCTGCTATTCAGGAGTTTACAGTCTAGCAAGAGATGGCATTTTAGCTGATTATAAGACCAAGTAACTGGAAGGAAAAGGGAAGAACACAATCTGTGTTAGCCACAAAATTCCCCTACCTTCCTTCTGCTTTCTAGGGTGAAATATTACATGTTATTTCAAGTTTTACTTTTGAAAAGGTCAGTTTTTTTTTTATGGATTTTGTTTATTTTATTTAGTCAACTATTCAAATACTGCAAAATTCTAATGAACAAAGTCATATAGGAAATAAAATGAAATTGTCTTCTATGTTAAAATATTTTAAATTGTAAGACTTTGCAAATATGAAACAAGATTTAATAAAGAAAATATTCACTTTCAATGAATACAAACTCACTAATGCTCCTCAGGGTTTTCTGTTGATTTTTCTAATTCTAGTTATCAAGAGTTTGACCTTATTATTATTATTTTGAGACAGAGTCTCATGCTGTGGCACAATCATAGCTCACTGTAACCTCAAATTCTTGAGCTCCAGTGATACTCCCACCTCAGTCTCATCAGTAGCTATGACTGCAAGAGTACAGGAGTGTGCCACCATGCCTGGCTAATTTTTTTTTTTTTTAACTTTTTTATAGAGACAGATTCTCACTATGTTGCCCAGGCTGATCTTGAACTTCTGACATTAAATAATCTGCCTGCCTAGGCCTCCCAAAATACTGAGATTATAGGAGTCAGCCATAGCGTCTGGCCATTCTTGACTGTCACTGAGTCACTACACAGTAGGAGTATTCAAGAGCTAAATCCTATAAGGATGTGGCTGACTGTAGCACCAAGCAACATTATGTCAGACTCTTCCCACCTTCTCTTTGCAGATTCTATTTCCTTAAAACTTCTCATTCCAGGGCCTCTTCTAGAGTATGTTCTCCTATGCAGTTCTCTTCTTGGAAACATGAGAGGATATACACTCCTTCCAACATACGAAATCTCACTTTATCATTCTGTGTGTTTCAGCCAGCATCCCTTGAGGTCTGACGCTCAAGAACTTACATCAGAGTCATGCTATCCTCTTTCACTTTCTCTGAAAGGTAGCATCATGACTGCTGTTTTCTTGCATTTGCTGGCAATACTGCATTTGTTGTCCAAAGTTCTTCTATCTGCTTAAAGAGGGCAAAGTTAAGCCAAAATGACACCCCTTCCATAATCTCCCGTTATTATCTTGTTGCTGCTTCGTTGGCCTTTGAGGATGGTTCTCAGATGAGCTAACAGTGACTTCTATTTCTGCCCTTTTCTTGAGCAGAGGAGAGAAACTGACAGAGAGTGAGGCTCCCAGTACCAAACTCTGTTGAATCCAGCAGCATCCACCCTGCGAAACATCTCCAATTTCTCAGTATTGTGGCCTCTCATGGTCAAGTGTCTTTTATTTGTTTATTGATTCACCAAATGTTTACTGACCTCTACTGTGTGTGGTAGGCACTGTGTTGAATGCTATAGATAAAATAAGGATTTTGATAGACATGATCCCTGCTTTCATAATATATAGAAACTTCACATCACTTCAAAGAATTTTCGAATAGTTGAGTCCTACCTACCCAGTCCCTCTAGCAAGGAAGTCAGTACGATATGTGAAAAGTCATCTATATTCTTAGTACTTTTTCTCCTAAAACTGATAAGGTGGAGCACAGGCCAGAACTTCCCTCCCCAGACTCTCACCTAACTTGATCACAGTCATTGTTTAAGCCTTCCCCTAAGGGTGTGTGCATCTGAAAGTACTCAGTTGTCCCTTTATTGAGGATCTTGGCAACTCATCTCTTTCTTTTAATTATTTTTTGTGACATCTAAGTCATCTGGATACCACTTTGTCAAAATTTTTATTCCAGAAAATAGCTATATTTAAACAAACACCCTGTGTTTTATGCCATTTGGGCTACATAAAAACAAAGTCATTAAAGCTCACAGATAAAACTAATTTCATAACCTCATTAAATGCATTCTTTTTATTTCAGTATTATTCTCACATTTAATTGTTTCAGATTTACCTGGAAAGTTGAATCAAAATGCAGACCTTCTGCCTTCACACTCAGAGATACATACACAGCAGTTCTTAAGCAGGATTAAGGAACCTACATCTTTATTTTTAAATTTTGCATTTGTGTTGAAAACAGTCTGTGGATCAACCCTTGAGAAGTACTACTTTAAGTAATACATAACTTAGTTGCAGATGTAGAATATCTGATAGGACATTAATATTCATATCTAGTTACTAAATTATTCCATATTTTTAGAGTGATCTATTTAGAATAGGTACATGCATTCTAGGGACATAATATATGGCTGAGTCTAAGGGAAAAATATTATCAAAGCATATTTTAATCATATATGTTCTTAGAGCAATGTCTTAGCTTAATATATATTGGATCATTTCTAATTCAAAGACCAGTAGTACTGTTTAATTTCCCCACTGATATAATACATCAAAATAATGTGGTTTAGTAGATTAATGTTTGTATAAAGATTATGCCTACTGGCTATTTCTGATCTAGAATAATATACATATTCTTGTGTGCAAAGAAAGTGTTAGTAGACTAGCTAATTGTATTTGTTCTACAACACCGTTCAAAAATAAAATTAGGCCAGGAGCAGTGGCTCATGCCTGTAATCCCAGCAGTTTGCAAGGCCGACGAGGGTGGATCAACTGAGGTCAGGAGTTCGGGACCAGCCTGGCCAACATGGCAAACGCCGTCTCTACTAAAAATACAAAAATTACCCAGGCATAGTGGTGGTGAGTGCCTGTAGTCCCAGCTACTTGGGAGACTGAGGCAGGAGAATCGCTTGAACCAGGGAGGCAGAGGTTGCAGTGAGCCAAGATTGAGCCACTACACTCCAACCTGGGCAACTGAGTGAGACTCCACTTCAAACACACACACACACACACACACACACACACACACACACACAGAAACAACAAAACAAAACAAAAAAGTTAACTTAAAACACAAAAAGAAGGCTTTGTCTTATGTTTGACAGATTGAACATGCAAATTAGCCTTCACATTTTCTCCAAAACTCATCAGATGAAAATAATCCCAATGAAGGATAACTTAGCAGAAATATTAGGAAAAGAGAATGGGATAGGAAACATGGCAGTGATGACATTAGGAAAAAGCATAAGAAAGGATTTCGCAGCAAAAACGGTTTGGAAAGCTGAAAGAAACTGGTAAGTAGTAACTGATTTAGCAAACCAAGAAAGCTGGAACCAAACTGGAATAAAGGAGGCTTAGAGCCAATTCAGTCTACCAGGGAACACCACAAAAGTTTAGGAGTTGGAAGTACGAGATTATCAAAAATTGGGACAAATTGGCGCTCTACATAGGAAGATTTGCTGAAAGTCTATTTAAAAAGTAATTGGAGCATCAGCCTCTCCCTTGCCTACAACCAAATGTCTGTTGCTTTATCACTGGAAAAGTTAGGTTTCTTAACTGTAGAAGATAAAGCAGAAGCTGACTGACTCGGGGATACCAAGCACCGTTGATGGGGGATAACTTCTAAAAATCTGGAGATTAAGGGAATTTTTACTAGAGCATGTTGAAATTCCAGCTTCCCCCTGGGCTCCCAGAGCCTGGTACTAGGCTTTATCTAACATAAAAGGATTAAATGTATCATTTGTGATAAATGCACACAGCCCCAAAATAAGATCCTACACATCCTTAGAATGTTTCCAAACAAAACCATTCTGTGGGTCTGTAAACTGAAAAGCCCCACCTACCCACTCAGAGCTTCTAATCAACTTTTTAGTGGCCCAGTTTTATAGATGAGCAGACAGCTATGAGTCTTACAAAGTATTTGAGGAAAGACTTAAAGTCATGGGATCCAGGAAATTAAGTCTCCAACATAAGAGAGAGCGACGGGAATCCCTAGACAATTGAGAAGAAAGATCCCAAAATAATATTTGTGTAGCTGACCTTCAGCAGATGAGATGGCTCCTGAAAAGGTTTATTCAAGAAGATGAAATTTTTAAAATATATTGAGAGGAGACTGATACAACTAAAATAGAGTTCTGGGATATAGTTGTGAGAAGTACAAAGATAACTAAGCAAACAACAACAATATAACATAATTTTTCCAGAGGGAAAAACTTATGAAATCATAAAATATGTTTCAGCTATCAAAATTATTGATACATTTTATATCTTAATCATTTTTATAATCATGTAAAAAATAATGATTTAACAATTTCAGTATATTGGGAGAAGGGGATGTGTGCATATGCCTACTGGAGGTTGGTGAGGAAGGATGAGGCAGATAGAATTCTCAGTAGACACTCCTCCAGGGAAGATATGCAAATGGTCAGTAAGCACATGAAAAGATGCTCAACATAACTAGGCATCAGAAAAATGCAAATCAAAACTATAATAAGATACACCTCATGCCTGCTATAATCATTAGAATCAAAAAGTCAGATAAAAAGTGTTGGGAGGATGTGGGAAATCAGAACTCATACACTGCTGGTGGGAATGTAAAATGATGCAGCTGCTTTTGAAAAATAGTCTGGCAGGTCCTCAAATGATTAGTTGCCCTATGACCCAGAAACTCCACTAGGTATATACCCAAGAGAAATGAAAACATGTTCACACAGAAACTTGTATACAAATGTTTATAGTAGCATTATTCATACTAGCCAAAAGGTGGAAACATCCCAAATATCCATCAGCGGATGAATGGATAAACAAACCATGGTATATCCATACAATGAAATGAGTACATGCTGATATATGCTACTACTTGGATGTACCTTGAAAACATGCCAAGTAAAAAAAACAAGTTATAAAAGTTCACATACCATATGATTCTATTGAGAAGAAATTCCAGAATAAGGAAATTGATAGAGACTAGTGAAAAAAGTAGCAAGTAGATTAAGGTAGATTAATAGTTGTTTAAGGCTGGGAAAAGACAGTGGTGGTGGAGGCAGAACAAGTGATTGCTAAAGAATACATGATTTCTTTTAGAGGTGATGGAAATGTCCCAATATTGACTGTTGTGATGGTTGCACATATCTGTGACTTTACTGAAAACTATTTAATTGTGCACTTTAAATGGGTGAATTGTGTGCTATGTGAATTATAAAGCTGTTTATAAAAAAGAAAGATTGAGAAGCAGGAAAGAAACCATATTGTTTAGAGATTGAAGGTAAACACTAAAAAGTTACAGCATTAAAATTTGTTGCTTCTGGGGCAGAATTCCTCACCCTACTGACATTCATTCTTTGCTGTCCAGAGCTATACAGTGCATTATAGAATGTATAAAAGCATGCCTGATTTCTGCCCACCAGATGCCAGTAGCAATTCTCTCTCCCTTCACCGTTTGTGACAACTAAAAATGTCTCTAGACATTACCAAAGGGCTCCCAAGGGAGCGGGGATTTCCCAAGTTAAGACCACTGCTCTAGGGATTGTGAATTGGAGGGGAAGAAAGCTGCAATATGTAGGTATGGATATTTTTATAACAAATATTAAAAAATTGTTTAAATATTTGTCTATTTAAACTGTGAATGTGTATATCTTAGCTCAAGCTACCACAGAATGGATGCCTCAAACAACAGATATGTATTTCTTATAGTTCTGGAGGCTAAGTCCAAGATCAAGTTTCCAGGTGATTCTGTTTCTGGAAAGGGCTGTCTTCCTGCTTGCAGATGACTGCCTACTTACTGTATCCTCATAGGGAAGAGAGGAAGAGAGAGGGGAAGAGAAGAAAGAGAGAGAGTGAGAGAGAGAGAGAAGGGGGGAGAAGAGAGAGAGAGACAGAGAAAGATTTTTTTCATAAGGTTGCCAATCCTATTGGATTAAAGTCCCACCTTAATGACCTTAATTACTTTCTAAAAGCCCTTTCTCCAAATATAGTGATATTTGGGGTTAGGGTGTCAACATACAAAATTTGTGGGGACACAATTCAGTCCATACCAATACATAACTTTGAATAAAATGGAAACTAAATACTGGATATTTCTACAGAAAATCTGTGATAAAATTGGCCACAAAAATTATTTCTTCGCCAAGATGCCAATGAGGTCACTGTCACTGAGGATATTATTAACAATATTAAGAATGCTGTTTTATGTTGTTGTCTGGTTTTGTTTTTTTAATATTTATATTCATTTAGCTAATCTTCCCAAAGTTTTATTGTACCTTTTGTGATGTGTTTTTTAACAACTATCTCAATATATCTGATTTTTAAAAAGTCCAACCAGCCTGTTTGTAGGCTTGATTCTTTTATTGTTTTACTTGTTTTGCTTTAGGTAGACTTGAACACAAATCTTTGTCATATTTTTCAAGAGAATGATGAGAAAAGGTGCCATTTAGGAGAAATATTAACCTAATTTTTCCTCAGGTACATTTATATTAGACCTAAAATGTATAGGTAATTGTACTATTTTAAAAAATTGTTATTATTCAAAGCCTTAACATTTGACATGAGAAACATATTATTTTCATTGGTCTAAGACATTCTCCTGGCCAACTAAATTCATTCCATGCAGAGGTATTTCTCTGCATGTTCAACCCTTTAAACGGAGATTCAGTTTAAAGATGTTATTTGGTCAATTCATTAAAAAAAATCAAAAGCTGGTAAAAGTGATCAAAGCTTTATTTATATTTTTAGCAAATAATTAATCTTAGTTTTACTGTGTACATCATCAACATATAAAAGAAACAACAGAATAGGTACTTTTGAAAGAATTACCCCATTTATCAAGTAGACATTTTGGCTGCTTCACAAAAACAGCAGATTCCATCATTGGTGTATATAGAGGCAAATTCAAATCAAATCATTTGTGCCACTTGGGGAAGTTTGATTAACGAGATCCTGCTTGGTTTTATTAATCTTTCCACATTCTTCACTTCTCACTCTTGACACCTAACCATTCTTTTTGGAAATCACCTTTATTTTCTTCACATTTAGTGCAGCTTTAATAATAATTTAGGTTTGAAATTTTTCCCACTGCATTTTTTTATAAACTATTTACAAGATCTTTATTTCTAAGCATGTGGTGAAGATCTTTCTAATTTTCTAACCTCTTGTTAACAAAATCCACCTGGTAAAGAAAATAAAATATTAAAGTAATTGAGATCTTTTACCTCAAGCATTTTCTTTTGGCCATACTTCTTAGATTATAAAAAGGTATAAACATGCAGCTTTGGATTGTAATATCAGAACAATAATGACTTTAGTAATGATTCTCAGGGTCATTGATAGGTTCTTTAATGCTGTCTTTGAGGCAAGTGTGAATAGACTCTAAATTACCATTAAGAATTCTGTGACTGCTGTGATTACCTAAGCAAAACATATTTGATAGATTGTATAAATGTTTGCCCTGTCTCCTTAGTGAATGAATGAAATATTACCTGCTTGAAAAAAAAGTAACTTTTTAAAACTGGTCTCTTGGTCATGTTTAATTGCATGGGTTTGTTGCTTACTTTATGTACTGACAAAAGCACAGCAAATGATTCAGGCAGGAAGCATGGTTGATGCCCAATACCACCCCTCCTTAGAAAGCAAGGAAAAGCCAAATTTATGTGGAGTCAAATGGTCCAGTGAACCTAGTCCCAAGCTATGAAACTCTTTGATGAGACTCAGTAAGAGTCTTTATCTAAAAATAGATAGGAAGTTAAAAATTCCAGCAGATTCACACTCAAAATTAGGCAAAGGCTGATTTCACATTTAGCATATTTACAGAGAACACCAACCATTGGAGCCTGGAAATGCACAAGAAACAAAACAATTTTATTCCTGCCTAAGAGTGCCATTTTCAGGGTTTCAGAACACAGTGGGAGACCGTTGATTAGAAGGGAGCTTGATTCCTGCAGAGGAATGGCTTATTATTGCCCCGAGGATAAAATCCTATCACTAGATTGGAATACCATTCATGATTTAGATCCTCATTCCTTTTCCAACCTCTTTACTTCACCTCCAATGCAAAAAACTTACATTAAACAAAGAATTGGCAGGCTTTCTGTAAAGACAAATAATAAAGAGCTTATAGGCTTTGTGGACCAGTCACTGTCACAGCTACTCATTTCTGCCATTGTTACAGGAAAGTGGTCATAGATAATACATTAAGGAATGGATGTGGCTGTTTGTGATCAATACAACTTTATTTATAGAAACAAGTGACAGACCTGCTTTGTCCCATGGGCCATAGTTTACTGACTCTTCCTGTAGACCAGCTTATTTACAAACTGTGAATTGTGACCATTTAATGGGGTGTGAAATCAATTTTATAGACCAGCTTCTAAAAACAGATTTTTACTTTTATTTCTATTAATATCATTCTTAAAATTCTAAGATACAATAAGAGACAAAAATATAATATATAATGATTGTAAATGAAAAGATAAAAAGTACTGTTATTTATAAATGGTAAAGCCATAGTCCTTAGAAACCCAAGAGAATTCACCTGAAAAACCTCTAGAGTGGTGCTTCCCAAAGTTATCTACACATGGGAATCAAAGGCGAGAACTTCAAAAAAATCCTAATGCCTGAGCCTTGCTCCCAACAGACGTAATTGGCCCAGCCAGTATTTTTTTAAAAATGAGATAGAATAAATCAGAAAATATCAGTATTTATTTTGTGTTGTAACTCTTGTTTTGGGAAGCATTGTTTTCAGATTTATATTACACATATATGTGTATACTGATTGCTAAGTGAAATCTATTTGTTACCTCTGGGCATGGTCTAAAAAGTTTGAAAACTGCTCCAAATTAAATAGAATTGGCAGAAGCTTAAAAATGGAAACTTCATTTTCTTCCCATATGATATGCTATTTAGAACAATACTTGAATTTTGACTAGAACTTGGGATAAAGAGGAGAGTCCTAGAGGCAAGAAGCCCTCCCTGAAATGCAATCATGGCTGAGTTCCTCTTTAGGACAATAGCCTAAACCACAGCTGGGAAGGCAGGCAGGGAAGGACCTTCCCAGTCAGCTGTGCCTGGGCCAGCCAGCCAGCCACAATTCCAAATATCTTTCTACTTTTCCTCCTCCTCCTTATTTGCAATCATTCAGATCTCAGGTAAGCACAATAATAAAACGTAAGGAAGTTTCAGATGGAGGCACAGTAGGGACCTGAATCTCCTCACCTCCCTGTCTTGTCTCAGGTGAAGGACTTCTGTGGCATTTAATTCTGATTTCCTCTATTCTACTGCCTCATGATTTTGCTTGTTTCATTTATTTTATTTTATTTTATTTTATTTTATTTTATTTTATTTTATCGTATTTTATTGAGAAACGGTCTCACTCTGTCGCCCAGGCCGTAGTGCAATGGCACAATCTTGGCTAGCTGCAATCTCCGCCTCCCGGGTTCAAGCCATTCTCCTGCCTCAGTCTACCTAGTAGTTGGGATTACAGGCACCTGCCACCATGACTGGCTAATTTTTGTATTTTTTCGGTAGAGATGGGGTTTTGCCATGTTGGCCAGACTGGTCTCGTACTCCTAACCTCAAGTGATCTGCCCACCTTGGCCTCCCAAAGTGTTGGGATTACAGGCATGAGCCACTGCACCTGGCCCCCTGTTTTGCTTGTTTTAATTCCAAGTATGTTTCAAACAGAAATTAAGATGAGAAAAGGGAACTTCCCCTTTTAGGTTGTAACTTCTGGGACTGCACATGATACCCTAAGGAAATTTAGGTAATGTCAGTTGTACAGGTGGAGGAGAAGGAGGAGGAGAGAAAGATACAGAAGAAGGGTTACAGAGTGACTTGTGATGACACAGTGTTTTGGGGATAAAGGAATCCTAGAGATTTGTGGGGTGGAGGGAGGTGAATGAGGAAACCATGTAA
Organism: Homo sapiens; assembly: GCF_000001405.40. Classification (NCBI taxonomy): domain Eukaryota; kingdom Metazoa; phylum Chordata; class Mammalia; order Primates; family Hominidae; genus Homo; species Homo sapiens. Next base: position 83,532,987 of record NC_000007.14, on the reverse strand, counting down.
ACATTAATCATTTTATCTTTTGGACTTAGTCTTCATCTTTATTAAAGATGTAGAACATCTTTAGTGATGAGAGTTCCCGTGGTGAGAATTTCTTACATTACAGATCACATCACGTGTTAATTAATTAACAAACACACACAAATGGTTGAAGCAAGATAAAGCCTCATATTTGTTTTTTGTTGCTGTTTTCTTTCTTTTTTTAAAAAAAAAACAGGAAATAATTTCAGTCAGATTATATCTCAAAACTGGAAAAGACTTCAAGATCATATAAAATTATCTGCCCTTTTTTTTTGGTTGGTTTGTTTCAGTTGCTTATTAAATTGAAGTATTGAGAGAATAAGTCAGAAAGAGTAAGCACAGAGAAGAAACTTGATCCCAGGTTTCAAGATTCCTGATTATGGAGTGTTTTTACCAGGGCAATACATTTGTCTTTACGTTCTTCTTAAGGAAAGGGTTACATCCCGCTGTACTGTACAGTGTAATGCAGTCCAGTCACACATTTATTCATTAATTCTTTCAGAGACTATTGATTAAATTCCTGTGATGTGCCAGTCACTACTAAGTGCTTCTCTCTAAAAGTAGAATGAGTCATCTTGGTGTGTGTCCTCATCACTTCCATACTGTAGTAAGGGAAATAAATATTAAATCACTTTGAGAATATTCAGTTCTGGACAGGAAAGACAGTGGAGTATGGATTTCCTAAAGTCTTATCTGCCAATTATCTCTCCAGAATGTGAGAAGAGCATTTTAACTCCATTTTATGTTCTCAAATCCCAAGAAAATAAGGAATCAAGAAAAATATAACAAGAAAAATAAAGAGGTGTTGAAATGAAGAAACCTTAAAATCTAAAAAGATTCCTAATTTTTTTAATGTTGTCTTAAATTTTTGCATTGAACTATCTCCTTCAAGTTTCCCTAATTTATACATGTTTTACCCAGAAATAACAGTCAGCAATGCATGCTAACTTTAAAAAGTCACGTTTATCACATGTTGTTTTCAGAGCCAAAAGCCAAATGTCCTGTCTCCCGATGATTCCCATATGGAATAGTTGAATGCAAATATTTATATTAAAATTATTTTCATAGGTGCCAATCTTATGTCTTAATGTGGTTCAAATTAATCAGAGAAAACATACAAATCTTCACTCCATAATTTTTACAGTACAAAAGAAGTGAACTATTTAAGTAAAATATTTTGCTATCTTAAAATTTATTCATTTTTACGCTCAGTATCTGCTCTAACTTGGAAAATAAACTTTAGATAAGTTAATGTCATGCAAACATGAAAGAAAAATATGGATATTTGAAGATGTCTCTATTAAGAATATTCCAATTGGCTGGGAACGGTGGCTCACGCCTGTAATCCCAGCACTTTGGGAGGCCAAAGTGGGCAGATCGCTTGAGGTCAGGAGTTCGAGACCAGCCTGGCCAACGTAGTGAAACCCCATCACTACTAAAAATACAAAAATTCACTGGGCATGGTGGCACGCACCTGTAATCCCAGCTACTCTGGAACCAGAGGCTGAGGCAGGAGAATCACTTGAACCCAGGAAGCAGAGGTTGCAGTGAGTCAAGATTGCATCACTGCACTCCAGCCTGGGTGACAGAGCAAAACTCCATCTCGGAAAAAAAAAAAAAAAAAAAAAGAATATTCCAATCAAGAAGCACACATGCACACAAATAACTTGTTAAAAAAAAAAAAACTATGAATTTTCCCAACTTGTTTACTCCTTGTTTGATTTTCTTACAAAGTAGAAATAAATATTTATACTTGAACAAATAAAATATTAACTTTAGATGCTTAATTATAGAGTCATTTTAATGGTAAGCACATATTAGGGCAAGATGATTTTATTTTATAAATATGTTTTATTGATAATGTGTACTAAGATAAAACTTTTCATGCTATTGCAAATACTACATTCTGTTTCTTAAAAATAATCCTTGGTAATTTTATTGGAAAATGTCTGTGTGTATGTGAAAATGTACGTATGTGTTTTTGTGTGTGATGTATAAAATAAATTATAAAATATTAATTACTTTATAAAATACAAACTACATCAAATTCATGTCTGCTGACTATCTAGAACCTTGAATTTTTTTTTTCCCCCGACGGAGTTTCACTTTTGTTGCCCAGGCTGGAGTACAGTGGCGCAATCTTGGCTCACTGCAGCCTCCGCCTCCCGGGTTCAAGTGATTCTCCTGCCTCAGCCTCCCTAGTAGCTGGGATTACAGGCATGCACCACCACACCTGACTGATTTTTTGTATTTTTAGTAGAGATGGGGTTTCACCATTTTGGTCAGGCTGGTCTCGAACTCCTGACCTCAGGGGATCCACCCGCCTCAGCCTCCCAAAGTGTTGGGATTACAGGCATGAGCCACCACGCCTGGCCAAACCTTGAATATTTTTAAAAAGAATATATATTGGAAATTGTTTCACGTAGAATGAATAAAATTTACTCCTGCCTTTTAATGGCTATATACTGTTCCATTGTAAAATTCTTCAGTGATTTGTTTAACCAATACCTATATATGTAGTATCAACTTTAGCACTGAAGACTTTTTATGATAACATTAATAAAAGTTTTTTCTGATATTTGTTTATAGTGAGAGGCAGTATTACAAAGTGGTTCTGAAGACATATTTTTAGGCAGAATACTTGATTTATGTTCTGCTACTGGTTATTTAAGACGTTTTAAAAATTAATTTTTTTGTTCTTCAGTTTTCTAATCTATAAAATGGAGAAAATCATATTACCTACTCACAGGGTTATTGTAATGAATAATAAGCAAGGTTAAAGGCCTTAGAGTAGTAGCAGGAACCTTATAGTAAACAATCAACAACATTAAATCTAGATCTGTGCCCACTGAATGTAAGTTTCCTTCTCATCAATGATTCTCTTTTGATCACTGCATTATGCCCACGGCCTAGAAAAGTTGACAGCACATAGAAAATATGATTGAGTAAAATTTGAACTCAAATATGATGTGTTTATACATACAGAAAAATGACTATATTTAATAATTTATGTAATAATTTTTAGATTATAAATAAATATTAAGTGGGCTTTACTACAGATGGAGAGAAGAAAGTATAATCCGATATAAAGATTTGGGAAGGGGAGAGAAGGAGAGATGGAGGGAAAGGGAGAAATCAAGGGCATACGAATGCCCAAATTTTCCTTTTCTAAATGCTTGACCCAATTAGAGTTGAGTTTGCACTATTGAGAGAATACTAATACTTGATTTTTGCTTAGTATCCCTACCTAGCATTTCAGTTCAATGGATTCCAGCCACTTGGTTAGGGTCTCTATCACTCTGCTCAGCTTTTTTCTGACATCTTTCCAGATAACAGTATATCCTGGATAGACTAGCTAAAGTCAAGTATGAATGATCTAACTCTTGGCTATTTTAAGATTAAAGTCTCTTCGTATGCATAGATTACCTGGGTTCACAAAATGTTTGTAAATTTTTTGGAAGTCAAGATCTAATCTTCATAAGGAATTGAATCTCCTTACAATATGCTTTTATGTTTATTTTATAAAACATATTTGCTAGTTTTTGACGGGCAGCTCAAATTACCATAATTACCAAGAGTATACAGAAACAGCTATTAACTCCTCTATACCTTGGTTAATGTCTTCATGAATCAGTCACTCTTAGAAAGAAAGCAAGGTCATGGGCAAACTAGGACAAATGTATTAACACAATAACTGAAGTACAGTTTTAGGCCATGATGCTATTCATAACGTGCATGCCAAGTTAGAGTGCTCCGTGGTAGAAATGACCTTTCATCCCCTTTATCAAGCATGTAATTTTCTAGTCATCTGAAGAGCTGCTTCTCCTGGTAGTTGTAAATTCTTTAATTACTATTTTAAACACTTATGTTGCATTCCAATGATTACTATGTGAATGATTTCAAATACTCTACCAGAATGTTAACTTATAATGAGGGTAAATGGGCAACTTGAATACTCTTTTAAGCTCAGACCTTGTCTGGAAGATTTTTGTAGAGATATGACACTTTCATCATCTAAAAAGTATTTACCTCTCCACTTGAGCATATTTTTCACGTATTTAAACCCTTTATAGTATAATTCATTAAAAAATCTAAAAGACTATCTGAAGGTAGAGAACACTAATAAATCATTTTTTCATTTAAATGTTATTGCATCCTTTTTGTTCTGATAATATTCTCTTTCTGAAAATGTATTTGTTTCAAAGATTTATTAAAAATTTGAGACCCTAATTATGTTAACTAGATTATATTTTATTTTATTGGTCATAGTTTGCAAGTGGAGTTGGTAAGTTAAAATGTTGAAAACATTAAAGATTTGGATAAGAATAGCTTTTATAATGAAGACTTAGGTTTTACTTTTCCAGTCTTTTCTTGCCTGTATAGATAATTGAATGAGTATTTAATATTAAAATCAATAGTAAATTGAACTTATAAAGAAATTTTGGCAATATTACTTATCTATGCCAAGCTTCGTGCTCTTGTTAACCACACCTTATAATTGACAGTTTACTACTTGAACGATTTTCATGGTCTGATCTCTCATAAATCCCAGCTAGTCTTAAACAGTCCTTATCATCAGTTCCAACAAAGCTCCTATTCAATCCCTGATAATATTGTATTTCTATTCTAACTTCAAAGAAATAGATGAAAATATCGGTTGCTACACTTGTGATTTTTGATATTTCAAGTTTTAAATTATTTTTCAAGATTTATTTTTGTTTGAGTTTCCCAAGTTAGAAATGCTTCATAGCTCATTTGCTAAAGATTAGTTTTTATAATGTATATTATGTAGAGACTTTAAATTTTATTTATATTCAGTATTGTCAGTAGGCTAACTTAGATGACAGTTACTTTTTCCTACCAAAAAGGGCATTATAGTAAGAATTCTGACAAAAATTATATGTAAGAATATATTTTATAGGTTCAGTAATTCAGTGTAAATCAAATAATCATTTTCATTATATGTATAGACATGGGTTATAACGTTTTTGTTTAAAAGGTCATCTGTCTTATTATAACTAACTTATTCTTTTTCTTGGTTTTCTTAACCTTAGATGTTTAAGTACTCAATTACTTTAGGCAGAAAACAGGTTTTAAATATAATCACTGTGTAAATATTTTTATATTAATTGCCACAAATGATATAAGTTGTTTCCCAAAATATCACTAATGACAACAAACAAAAAAAAAATCACAAAAATTCTACGTAAATATTGACAATATATATGATTCTGGGAAAATACTTCATGAAAATGCTATCTTAGCTCAAGAAGTCTTTGCTACCAATTATGATTGAAAATTGCCAATCTCAAGGATGAAATATTGAAACCCCAAAGCTGATCTGCACTTACAGCTTCCAATGTTTAAGTATAAATATCTTTGAATATATATATCTGAGGCTTTACAACTAGGGTGTAGTTGTAACCTAAATTCTTGAATACCTAAGATAATTGAGCAGGAGTTGGCAGAAGCAGGGACCTAACTGTCATATACTCCATAGGAGCAGGGTTTAATGCTTAAATGGTCATAGTGCTGCCGATGGCCTAGACTTCCTTTCTCCTTATTTGTCCACCTACTCCAAGGAATGAGTAAAGCCTTGGGAGAAGATCACTGGTGGTTGTATTAGTTTTCTAGGGCTGCCATAACAAAGTACCACAAGTGGAATTGCCTTAAGCAACAGAAATTTAATTTCTCACAGTCCTTGAGGCTGGAAGTCCAAAATTAATATGTCCATAGAACCATGTTCCCTCTGAAGGATCTAGAGAAAAAAACCTTTTTTTCCCCCCCACTTCTTAGCTCATGGTGGTTGCTGCCAGTCCTGGGCATTCTGTGGCTTGCAGATGCATTGCTCCATTCTTTGCCACCACTGTCACATGGTCTTCCCCACACCTCTATATCCAAATTCCCCTTCCCTTACAAGCACACTAGTGATTGGTTAAGAACTAATCCAGTATGACCTCATATTACCTTATAAGACTCTATTTGCAAAGAAGGTCACACTCGCAAAGCTGGGGGTTGGGGCTTGAACATATCATTATGAGGTCACAATTAACCTCCAACAGGGACATGGAGGTAGTCAGAGCTGATCCACGTGCAGCCACAATATGAGACTACTTGGGACCCTCCCACGGTTTAACTGGTTGATTAAAAATTCAGTTGAATAAAGATAGATGACAACATATACACATTTTAAAAATATTCTCCTATTCCTTCTAAAACAAAAAGAACTTTTAAAGCACAAACCACTGAACTATAAGAAGGGGATAGAAAACAATAGCAACTTAATCTTGGCAAGTGGATAGCACATGGATGAGTGTAATTGATTTGGCAGAACCGAGGTGGCCAAATCTTAATCCCACAAAGGCACAAATCAAGAAAAAACTTGATTTGTTCCATGGAATCTCCTCCAAAGCTTCAGGAATTGAAAGTGCCAAGCACCTATATCAGTGAGGGCAGAGGTTGGATTCAAAACTTTGGTTAAAAAGTCTGTTTAATAAGCAGTTGGAACCCCAGATCTTCTACCTTATCCAATATAACCTTTCTACTTCCTCTCCAATATCCCTGAAAATAATGAAATAATTTTTTTTTCTTTGAAGTAGGTAGAACAGAGTATCTTTGCACTGAAGTACTGGACTGAAATCAGGGAAACAAGTGAAACAATAAATATTAAATATCAAGACAGATGCTGTGCTGCTATGTGTTTAAAAACCATCTCTCTGGGAAGAAAGAGCCTTGATTTGTAGGATTTTCCGACCTCCATGGTGTAAATTGTACCACCACATCCAATTTCTAACAGTCAACATGATATCCTAGAATGTCAACTTGGGAAGAAATGTGTATAGGCTGTCATTATCATTGAATTCATGCCAGTTCTATTGAGAGCCACCTAGCCTTCTTTTCCTAAGGCTTCAGAATGCTGGCAGCTCTCCAGAGACACAGTTGAAATATTCTCCTCAGAGGAATCTGACTAGTCTAAAGAAATATATTGATGCTGGACTTCCTAAAAAAAAAAAAATAACCTACCAACCCTTTCTATAGCAAAGCTTACAGTTGACAAGCTCTACCCATGGGCTTAGAGATTCCATTCTTGAGCTGCTTTTAAACACAAGTATACAACCCAAGATCACTGGATAGCTAAGGAAATCATCTAAAATGAAATATAGAGACGAAAAAAAAAAAAAAAAACCCAAACAAACAAAAATGAAGGAACTTAGAAGAAACAAACTATTCTGGAAGAAAATAAAGATCTTCATAAAGATCAGAGAAAATATTGCATCCATGAAACAAGATCAAATTGCTACTTTAAAAATGAGCAGAAAATAAAACAGCTCTTTGAATTTAAAAGTATGCGAAGAAGAATAAAAATCTCAGAGGAAGTTGTAAAAATTAAAGTTGAGGAAATATTCCAGAAGTAGGGGGAAATGATGAAAAAAATACATGAGAAAACAAGAAAATCTGAGGTCACCCCAGAAGTTCAAAAAATAAGCATTGCAGAAAGAGAAAACAGAACATATGTGAGAGAAGTCATCAATAAAGTAATTGAATACTTTTTTTAGTAATTAAATAAATGTATTTTTAGATTGAGAGAGCCCAGTACAATGGATGAAAACAAACTCATACCAAAGCAGGTCATCATAACATTTTAGAACACTGGAGAAATATAAAAGGCTCTGTGAGGTTCCAGGGAAAAAAAATTAAAATGAAAAAACAGGTTACGTAATTTTCAGGGATTAATATTGCTTTGTTCTTCATAGCTTCAACTCTAAAATCCAGGAGGCAACAGAAAATGCCATCTAATTTCAGAGGAAAATGTTTTCCAATATAGAATTCTGTATTCAGACAAAGTGTCAATTAACTTAGGGCATTGAATAAACACGGTTCAGACATGCAAGTTCTCAAAAAGTTAAGCTTGATGCACCGTTTCTTAGAAAACTCTTAGATGATGTACTTCAGTAAAACAGGATGATTAGCCAAGAAAGAGTAGCCAATCCAGAAAGAAGGGATTCAGGTCAGGAAGAAGCAAAAGGAATCCCCAGAGTAAGAGTGATGTGAGATCTCAGGATGAGAGCTGCACCAACAGAGGGTGGCTAGTCCACTGTGCTGCCAAGCAGAGGCTCCAGGAGAGATTTCTTTAAGGTGATGAAACTGATGGACTACCTGATGCATCCCACAGCATTGAGAGGTATTTAGACAACCAGTAGAGAGTTACGGGTTGAATTCCTAATTTAAACTTAGAAAACTAAGCAGATTTTAAAAAGAGAGACAGAAAGAGAACATTAAATCTCAGAATTAAAAGTAGATCAGAAAGAAGGAAAAAGCCATATTTATATCATGTATAACTTTTTTTCAGGGATAAGCTTTTAAAATGTCACAATATTTTAATAGCACGAGAGCTCACAATTCTATACTATGTACAATGAATGACGTGTTAAATTCATAAAACACACCACCTGCTTCTAGGAATGTTGTGTGGCCCCTGCACAAATGTGCTCTCTAAATTCCTAGAATTGCTAACTTAGTGAGTAATGAAACTATTTGGAATTTCTTTTTCCTTTGACTAAATGTCCAAATTGATATAAGATAGGTCTCAGATTTCAAAATTTTTGGTCCAAGGCTTGTAAAGACAGGTTTGGCCTTTTTATTTACAAAAATATTTCTTTTATTTATCTGCTGAAGAAGACTGGAGAATATTCTTTCCTCTAAGGTACCTCAGGTGGACTCACAGAATATTAGCACATTAGTGATTTATAAACTTTTCTACTGATATGACTTCCTTATTAAGGGAGAAAGAAAACTATCTTACAAGGTCTATGAGGCAAGCTTATCTAAGTATAAATCAAAATGTAATTTTTGCTCAAAGCTGTGTTCTATTTTTACTAAGGTAATCTTGTTGGTTTATATTGTTTATGAAGTAGTAGATAACAATATTTAAATTAATACATAAGCATTTGATTGAGCAAATATAATGTTTCTCTGTTATGAGATTTTAAAATGTGATTTTTGAAGCATTTTCTCAAAAGAAACGTGAAATATTTTATTAAATGTTTATTTCTTAAAAATATCTGTTACCAGGCTTTCTATGTCCTAGGCAGTGTGAATGCAAGGACAAAACATGTTCTTGCCCTAATAATGCAGCATTTAATCTTAAAAAAGAAAAATACGTGTATATTATTTACTGTAATTTTATAAAATACAGTGGAAATCATAGATACAATGTATGGACACCAAAGGAAAATACATAGATAGGAAAAGGCCTTAACAATATTTATTGTTTCTCATAAAGCGGAGGAAGATAAATCCACCAAGGAGACAGGGTGATTGGCCAGAGAGGGAGAACACACAAGAAAGTGTCAGGAAATCCAAAGCAGACAGAATTGAAGATGGCAGAATGGCTAAGAGAAGCACATGCCACTGAGAGAGAAAAGCGATAATGACAGGAGAGTTAGCAGTCAATTTGACAGGATAGGGCTGTTTGATTACCTTCCTGGATGTAACTATCATGGATTGGTGAGACTGAAAAACCATATTTTATCCATTAAAAATGAAATTTGTTACATTTTTTAAAACATGCCTCTGACTTCCTCCCTCTCCATCCCCTGACCTCTTTCCTGAATACTTTCTCCTTCTTGACAAAACTAAAAGCTGGTACTCTCTTGAGATCACTCTTTCATCTGGGACAAACACGAGTAAAAACTGTTCAGTCTCCAACTCAACAAAGGTCAAGTTCAGGAAGATGGAAGGCAAACCTCTCAGTCCTTAATACCATAATTATAATAAGGGGCAGAATCACCGCTGAGTGCATAGTGTGTGCCTGCACTGAACATGAATCTCTGATGCTCATTTGCTCTGGTATACTCCCTCTAGCTCTTTTTGCTCCTGCCATCTGCCAACTTCCTATTTCCTCGGATTCACCCCGTTCTTATGCTGGTGTTGCCATTAGCCTGTGCTGTTCAAGTCTCTGTGCATAGTTGTTTAAATGCTACAGCTTTATACTTCCTCACCTTCCTAACGTATTCTCACCAATCCTGAGAATTGTGCTTAGGGGCTTACGAGAGTAACAGGATTGTTAGAAAAAAGTGGGAATTCAAGTGAGACTAAGTCTCTCAGGCAGACTGAGCAAAGTGTGAGGGAAAAAGTCTTGGATGAGACACTGAACCAAATAAGGATGGAAGGAACAGAAGGCATTGAGGTAGGAACAGAAAGACAGCTAGAAAGATATCATACTAAAAAATGGTAACATTTAACAATTGCTATTTTTCTATTCTTCTCCATTGTATCTTCTTAATAATGTCATGGATCTTATCTCACATGCTGTCTTAGGTTGTGTTCCCAAAAAGACCCTAAAATGAGGTGTGCAAATGATTTGTTAAGGAAGTGATCTCAGGAAACACTGGTAAAGTTGGGGGGATCAGGACAAGGAAGGAGGGGAAAAGACAAATAAGGATGCAATCTCAGGCAAAATCCCCTAGAGGGTAGCTTCAGCCTGATCCTACAGTGAACTTTAGATTATAAATTAACCCCTAGATGTACCCTGATAGAGTCGAGGGACCTGGGCTTTTATATCCTTGTACCTGTCAAATATTGGTCAATGGCTATCTGAAGAAATAAGTTCCCAGGCACATCTGGTTCTCTGTTGTGTTGATGAAATAGCTCCATTAGCTAATGACAGTAATCTGATGATAACCACAAATAAAAAAATGTCAGGAATAAAAGCCCACCAAGTTAGAAATAAACATATAGAAAGAAACAAAGGAAAGCAAAAAGTAATTTGTAGATAGAGTACCTTTGTATAAAATTATTGCTTAAGGTAGCATTGAAATTTAGGAGAAAACTGATAATTTCTGAAGAATCAACCATGAGACACATTTATGATACATCTATAGGACACTTCTAAGTAGCACATCTTTATAATGCTTCTGTATAAATATCTTTATAATAGATATAGAGCTAATCTCTATAATAGAACATATCTGTCAAATTTTTGTCTCTGCCCTGAGTGCCATCTTGGCATCATGACTTTAGATATCACGTGGCTTAATTTTTGTAAAAGTGCCTACAATGAACTGAGTTGAGTCTTCTTAAAATTCATATATGAAAGCCCTAAACCCCTGAAGCCACTATATTTGGAGTAAGGAGATAATTAAAGTCATAAGGTGGGGCCCTCATAGGATTAGTGTCCTTATATGAAGAGACAGGAGGGCACTCCTTCTTTCTCTATTGCCTGTGAGGACAACACCAGACACTTTCTCTGTTCCCCATGAGGACAACACCAGAAGACAGCCATATTCAAGCCGGGAAGAAAACCCACACCAGGAACCAAATTGGGTTGCACCTTGATCTTGAACTTCCCAGGCTCCACAACTGCAAACAATACATTTCTGTTGTTTTAGCCACCCAGTTTATGGTATTTTGTTATAGCTGCCTAAGCAGACTAAAACAGTACCATATGCCAGTGCTCATGTTTAAACATGGTTTATTTTCTTCAGGAAAAAAATGAAACTTAAAACAAAATTCCAGAAAGACTGTTTTTCCTTGTAATACCAACTATGCCCTAGCTAATGAACAATAATGCAATTTCTGAGCCATCCTATATGTAATTTTCTCGTATTCATTGTTATAAATTGTGCAAGATTGGAATAGACTTCTGCCCTGATTTGCTGTCATGACTTTCCAGGTTGAACCTCAATGCTGCCTGTTTGTCTTGGTAAAAGTGTTCTTTCCATGATTTCCTTGCATCCTGGGAGAGTCTGGTCTCTAAGACACTGCAGGAAAGACTGTGATTTGAAAAGAAAATTCTTATGGGCAAGAACTCCTACAGAGGTCCCCATAAAACTTCTACCAACATTTTGTGCATCTATACACAGAATCTAAAAAAAAAAAAAAATCTTAAAAGTTGAGGTCCTTCTCGAACAGGGACCAAAGTATCCACTAACTGCAATGAAAACAATCTATTTACAGGCACACTGCAGAAAAGGGAGTTAGCCATGTGGCTGACATCTCAGTCACCCCACAACCTAATGCCCCATACGTGTAGAGAAGTAAACAGAGCCAAGGCAGATTGCTATTGGGAGCCAGCCAGCAATGCTGGCAATATTCCAGCTTATTCTCTAGGGCAGGTATCTTTAACTGACCAGTTACAAAAAAAATTAACTTGTCCATTCAGTGTGATCAACAATCTAGCCCCAAGTATGACTTAAAATTGTTTGTGAATAGCTGTGTCTTTAGGACTCAAAATAACTTCTATCCTATCTATCCCTGTGAATAGTTTCCATATTGGAAATGCTAAACTTGCATCTATTAAGTATCTTAAATACGGTGTATGTTGGCACTCTAGTAACTGATGATAGAGGTGGGTTTTGTTTTTTAGGCAGTTTTTGACCTTCTACTGCTGCAGACCCAGTCTTGAGCTTGTTCTCATTGATTCTACCCAGACTTTTTCTCTTCTCTACCAGCACTTCTCTTTTTGTTCAATTTCCCACTGGTGAAGTAGCAGTGGTAGTAGAGGCAGAGGGTGTTGGAAAAACTGGGTTAACTTTTGTGCTAGATTATACGGAGAAAGGAATGGAGAAAGGGAGAAAATGAATGTTGATTCTGTTGCCAAGTCTTTCTCTCCAAGGTACTTTCCTTGGTCCTTGGAAGGAGCTCAGTAACTAAGACCAGAGCAGCTGTCTAGTGAAGCCCATTCTTGAGATTCCCCAATCTCCTAATGAATGGAATTTTTCAACTGTACTCTCTTAGGCATAACTTGAAAGAAGGGATGTAAATTCATTGAGTAATAAATATTTAAGTGAATGAATGCAAGATCTGTGGTGCAGAATCGTTTTAAAGTTTACAGAGAACAGAGATATCAAAAATTGCATGAAAGAAGATACCACCCTAGCAGGGCCAATGACAAATGAATATCAGGGATGATTTTATCGTAAGCCTTATTTGTAATGTACACATTATTTAATTGTTCATATATTTATAGGGCATCTATGATGTGACAAGCTTTAGATTGAGAAGCTAGTAAAAGTTTTGGGGAGGACTGGACAGATAAGGTAATCTAGTCATGTCTTAGTTCTACACCTTGAAAGTCTGTGTCCTTGGGCAAGTAACTTAACCTCTTCATCTCATGGTTTCCTCTTCTGCAAAATAGCAAAGATAAGAAAGATACATATCCCATGTGGTTGTTATGAGGTTAATTGTATCATTGTTTATGCCAGGTTCTATGCGTACAGAAATAAGACAAAGCTTCCACGATTTTCATGGTTTAGTAGGGGCTAAAGATAAGAAAAACAGTGATTAAAACTCAGTATGATAAATGCTATAATAGGAGATACATCCCGGAGCTATGATACTCATAGCAGCAGTTACTCAGTCTGAAGAAAGTTTTAGAGTTTGGTATGAATCTTGAAGGCTTTACTAGGGAGACGAGAAGAAAACAAGGACTCCAGAAAAGACACAGAGATATGATAAACATGGTGATTTCTAGGAATCTTAAAAAATTTAGTATATCTACTGTTAGAAAAGACTCTGGCAGTATGCTAGAGAATGAAGCTGGGTGATAGGCTTGAGTCATGCTAAAACAATGTAAACTTTTTTGTAGGGTTTTAGACAAGACAGATTCTGGAAAGATGGTTCTAGGTTTAGTGAAGAAGATGTATTTGAGTTGGTATTTCCAAGACAAGTTCATGTCCTTTGTAGGGACATGGATGAAATTGGAAATCATCATTCTCAGTAAACTATCGCAAGAACAAAAAACCAAACACCGCATATTCTCACTCATAGTTGGGAATTGAACAATGAGAACACATGGACACAGGAAGGGGAACATCACACTCTGGGGCCTGTTGTGGGGTGGGGGTAGCGGGGAGGGATAGCTTTAGGAGATATACCTAATGCTAAATGACGAGTTAATGGGTGCAGCACACCAGCATGGCACATGTATACATATGTAACTAACCTGCACATTGTGCACATGTACCCTAAAACTTAAAGTATAATAATAATAAAATAAAAAGAAAGAAAGGAAATCTAATGATTATACAAGTAAAAAAGAAAAGAAATTCCTGAGAAAACAAAGAACTGCAGTAAGGAGTTTCATTATGCTATGAAGTGGGGAAACAGACCCTCTGATGGAAACAAGGGTTAAATTTCAGAGCTGTGAAATAGTAGAAAGGAGAAGTAGGGAGCTTTCCTGAGAGGAAGGCGTGAGCTAGACTCTGGTCCGATAGGTGCTTTGGGCATCACCAAGCAAAAGAAGGAATGCAGCAGGACAGAGAAAAGGCCTCCATTAACGTTCTGAGGTCTGTCGCACCTTTACCTCTCTTTTTAATAATGAATGTAATAGTCAACTATTATCATTTAATTTAATCCTCACAAAAATCCTATCAGGCAAATACTATCATCTTTATTGTATGGATGAGGAAACTGAAATAAGTTTAAGTGATTTGCCTAGGATCAAATAATTAGTAAGAAGATGAGATTAGATATGAACCCACATTAGACTGAAACCAAAGCCCATTTCTATACAACTTTTCCAATCTATCAGCCTCTTTCCTGGTTATATGTCCCGCCACCTTTCTCCAACCTATAGATTTCCTTGTATTTTTTTTTTCCTTTCCTCACCTATGACTTGTAAGTACTCACTCATCTGCTATCTTTTTTTTTCTGAGCTAATGAACACATTTGGCAAATGAACACGTTAATTCATGTTCTGCAACCTCAGTCGAGTTCTTAGTGTTCCCCAGACAATTTTCTGTGTGCATCTTGTCCATTCTATGACCTGTTCCCCATAAATACCTCTCAAATTGAGACTATGGTCCTTATGTACTAACTACAAATAAATCCCAACTCTAAGCTGCCATACTTTTCTTTCATGAAGAAAAGCAGGGACTTCACATGGATTTGTTCACATTTCTGTGCCATTTTTGCACCCTCCACACACAGACATGTTTACCTGTCTCTGATGGAAATAACAGTTTTGGGATTTCTAAGCCCTTAATGGAATTAACTCTGTTAATTACTTTTCTCACCCAGAGGCCCCAAACCAGTCTTCTCCACCATGGTCC
This sequence comes from Homo sapiens, assembly GCF_000001405.40. Classification (NCBI taxonomy): domain Eukaryota; kingdom Metazoa; phylum Chordata; class Mammalia; order Primates; family Hominidae; genus Homo; species Homo sapiens. The sequence goes on along the minus strand of NC_000007.14, from coordinate 83,517,916 downwards.
TCATTTGCTACCACTGTGTAGACACATTATCATCTACCTCAGATCTCTCTTGTCTTTCAAATTACTCTTGCTCAGATCCCAATAGTGGTTACAAACCAGGAAATTTCATTTTCCTTTGCATAACAAGTATATGGGGTACTTGTTATGATTAATGCCTAAAGTTTGATCTCTGGAGGTACTTTTCCATACACATTGATTGTCTTTTCCTCATTCCCTATTTTTCTTTTTCCTTTCTTCTATTTACAGCAGTTTGGCAGCTCTAGGCTTCTGCTACCTCTCTCCCTAATTCTCACTCCATTCTACATAATAAAGGTAAAGGAATAGCTAAGAAAGAAAATTATTCTATCTCTACAGAAGTGGGTGTAGTTATAACAATGGAATCTAGTAGCTAATGCATTGCAAATTCTTTACTTAGTGATTAATCTTTTTCTTTTATCCCTGTCAAAAGTTGGAGGAGTAGCAAAAGCAGCATTTCCTAGAGTATAATTGCAATTAAATTCCAAAATGTGAATACCTTTTCTTCTCCTAAGTGTTTGGGTAAAGCTTTCAACGTTGTTGATGATTTTAGTACAAATCTCTCCAAGTGACAGTACTTCATTGCTTACTCTTCCTCTGCTTCTGCAAAGCCAATTTGTTATTTGGAGAATGGAGTGTGTAAAGGCCATAGAGCAAAGTCTTTCATGCTCCGTCTAGCATAAAGCAGCTGCAAAAACACATGATTTGGAGCATCAAGGCTATTGCTGAAGACTTTCCTGTTAATGCAGATGCTCAATTTAAATGCATGTGCTTATAGACCCTGAAAGGAGTAAGGTCGACTTGGTATAGGAATACTAAAGATGCATGGTGTTTCTTTCATTTTGGTAGTCACAAGGGTAGATTGTATCCAGTAAGTAAAACACTCTATGGAATGCATGCCTTTCTCTGACAGTAGCAAATTCCCTTTCTATATTTTATATACATATATATATATAAATATATGCTATATATACTCAATAAATGCATGTATGTGTTTATGAGTGTACATTATTACTGTTATTACTAAAATTTATTATTGTAGTTTCCCTGGAAGGTACTGGTAAAAGCAAATGCTCTCAAGCATTTTTGACTTTTATGATATAGTTAAAAACATAACGTAGCAGGGGAAGAAGAAAATATTAATTTTCTGCTACTACTTCAACACACTATTTTGTCTCCACTAATGTTGAATATTAACATGTGCTGAAAATATCAGAATACGTTGGCTTCAGTGGTTATAGTTAATGTATTCTCTCTGTTCTAAGCAATTTAGATGATTTGTAAGTAAGAGTTTACATAATATTGACATTTCTTCAGTTACTTAACCAAATAGAATCCCTCAGCAATGTCAAAATCAAATAATAGAAACTCCTCCCTGTGTTAAGATTTGCTAAGTATTATTTACATTCTGGAAGAGTTTATACTTTCATTATGTTTTTGTAATGGAAATATGTTTTTTCCTAAATACTTTACCCTTACCATAAATTATCTTCTAAGTAAAATCAGTAACCTGAAAAAGTAGAGGAAAATATTTTTACATTGTCTTTGTACCTTTGTCAAATTATATTTTAAACTTATGTGATTGTCTAAATGCCTGTTTAGAAAGAAATATATGTTTCACTTTAAAGGAGGGAAACTGTGAAGCCAGAGTCCATGACTATTGCATGTATTAGTGTGCCCAGAAATTAGTCCAGTATATAAAAATACATATTAAATTAATGAATAAAACTAAGTAGAAAAGGATTACTTATATGGTTGATTTATGATGCTATACAAAAATGTCAATTTAATGATCTGAGAGGATCACTGACAAACAGTTGTTTTCCTTTCTTTGGGTTTTTGTGTATTGTTATTGTTGTTGTTGTTATTTGTTTTGACACGGAGTCTTACTCTGTCGCCCAGGCTCAAGGCCAGTGAGGCAATCTTGGCTCACTGCAACCTCCGCCTCCCATGTTCAAGTGATTCTCCTGCCTCAGCCTCCCAAGTAGCTGGGACTACAGGCACCCGCCACCACACTGAGCTAGTTTTTTATTTTTAGTGGAGACGTGGTTTCACCATGTTGGCCAGGCTGGTCTCGAACTCCTGACCGCAGGTGATCCATCTGCCTCGGCCTCCCAAAGTGCTGAGATTACAGGCATGAGCCACCACTCCCCTCGAACAACCAGCTGTTTTGTGTAGAGACTCAACATTTGGGAGAAAGAAATATTACATACAATTTTTTACAGTCTAGGGATCTTCCCCATTGCTGAGGTGAGCAGTCTATCTGGAAGATTCCGGATAATAATTATTTCTGTAGTAAACTCTAAGGATTAAGCAAATGAATTAATTATGGTATAGGCAATCTGTGGACTTTTGGAAGTACCCTGTAATGGGAATATGGTGTACATTAGGAATATCTCATACTCTCCACTCCTCTAAGCAGCATGGGAAGGATGGATGAGAAGGCAACAGGTTAAGAAAATCAGTATCATTTTCTGCTAATTTTCCTAATAATTTGCACTAATATTTTAGATAGACTTTAAAACAAAGGAGAACAACTCATCTTAACTCAAGTAATTTGTAACAACACTTACTCAGAACCTAGGACATTTCTTTTTTTTTTTTTTTTCATAAGAAAAGTCATTTATTGAGTTTAAAAAGTGCTACACAAAGTAAAGCACCTGCAGCACAGGAACTTCCCTGAGAGGCCTCTGCAGTGCCTGGAGCAGTGAGAAGGAAAAGGAGGAGAGGAGGGGCGCTGGGCAAGGGTAGCTGGGTGTGAGCTGAATTTCCTGTCTCCTCACTCTAACCAATACTGTTGCTTAGTTTAACGTCTTATTTGCTCCGGCAAGGAAAATAAATATTTCAATTAGTAAAGTTTCTACTGGCAACAGAGGTTGCTATTTCAAGGAGGAGGAGAAAATAGTATGTGGAAAAAATAGTTTTCCTCATTTTTTATTTTCTGTGTATATACATGTAAGTACACACCTGTAGGTAGCTAAAATATATAAGTAAATATGATATCAAATTATTATCCAAAGTAGAATTCATATTTTTACCATTCCTAGCTCTCCTGATTCTTAAAAAAAAATCCTGATGGATGCAGGTGAAAGCAATATATTTCCATTTAATTATAATTTGTTACAGAATGTCTAGTTAATAATGGCCATGTACCTCTAACTTCATTTGCTTTTTTTCCCCTTTAGAATAAGAATAGGGATGTTTTTCTCCTTCTGCAATTTGGATACTTTCCAATTAAAAAGGGAAAAGAATCTGGGCTATGCATTAATTATGATATTCTACTAGCTTATAAAATATATACAATATATTTAATGTTTGGTATGCAGTTACACTAAACAACAAAGATTTTATCTTTTTTTAAAAACCAACAACAACAACACAAGATCTTTTTTAAAAATTACAGCAATATTGAAAGCTTTTTAAAATGATCCTGAATTTGAACTCATGACATTACAGGACAGAGAAATATGTTACAGGAAAGGGGTCTCGATCCAGACCCCAAGAGAGGACTGTATCGGGACCCCTTTGCTCTTGGATCTCACGCAAGAAAAAATTTAGGGCGAGTCTGCAGTGCAAAGTGAAGGCAAGTTTATTAAGAATGTAAAGGAATGAAAGAATGGCTACTCCACAGACAGCAGCCCTGAGGGCTGCTGGTTGCCCATTTTTATGGTTATTTCATGATGATATGCTAAACAAGGGGTGGATTATTCATGCGCCTCCACCCCCCTTTTTAGACTATATAGGGTAACTTCTTGACATTGCCATGGCATTAGTAAACTGTCATGGTGCTGAAGGGAGTGTAGTAGTGAGGACCACCAGAGGTCACTCTCGTGGCGATCTTGGTTTTGGTAGGATTTAGGTGGCTTCTTTACTGCAATCTGTTTTATCAGCAAGGTCTTTATGAACTGTAATTTATGCTGACCTCCTATCTCATCCTGTGATTTAGAATGCCTTAACCATCTGGGAATGCAGCCCAGTAGGTTTCAGCCTCATCTTACCTAGCTCCTATTCAAGATGGAGTTGCTCTGGATCACATGCCTCTGACAATGGTACATTTATATTAAAAGCCTTGAAGAGATTTTACCAGCTCGATCAATATAGCACGGCATTTATTTGAAGCATATATAATTTATTAATATTTGAAAACCTGATTTTGTAAATTCTAGACATGTTTTATAATTATTGTCTAAAATTACATACGGAAATTACCCAGCAAAATCATTTCTCTTGTATGTGAATGTGCATGTGCATATGTTTGTATGTGTGTATTCTTCAAGAAGACCCAGTGATAATGTTGCCTTTAAAGCTAAAAGATAACCTAAATATAGTCTCCCAGACTTTTAATTTTGTGGCAATGTCCCCTTCACTTATAAAGGATGTAATTAATATACAACATTTTAAAATATGTTTGTGCAATCAACATTGGGCTAATTGTATTCATTAATACTCTACTTTTAGAAATGCATATTTTTTGTTGTTTCTAACTTAAAACATTTATGGCACTGCTGGCTGATTCCCTGGGAACTGTGTGTGGAGCATTTGGAAGTGCTATGGGAAGAGGTTAATTATGCTGTCCAGGAAATTTGTCAAGGAATAGCCCTGGAGGAGATTAAAGTAGATGTGATGGTTGCAGAGGCCACAGCCTTGATTTTGAGCCAAAACTGACTACCACTGCTTCATTGAGCCTGAAAACTAGAAAGCTGGTAGCCACCTATTACTTGGGAAGACACATCTAACTAATTGGAAATGAGTGAGCATGGTTCTTAATGACTCCAAAAACAAAGAACTGGAACAACCAAATATGAATGGTAATTCGTTAAAATCAATATTGCGATAAATAGAAACTTTCATATTATAATTGATGTGATACTCGCTCTTTTACATTGCAAAAATATAAATTCTTTACTATCCGTGTTTCAAAGAATATGTATGTCATTAGTTTAGCCTTTAGTAATGTATGGCATTACTTTAGCCTTTATGTAAAAACCTGAGTAAAATGCTTTCCATTAATGGTGGAAAAGCTTTGAATTCAGAGTATTTGGTTTTAAATATTAAATAAAGTTTTAAAATTACATTGATAGTATTAACACATTGTATTATTTTTATTGCAATAATACATCAAAATTAAGACAGGCACAATGTATATACGTTGTATCATCATATTCAAAGTACAGAAATATAATAGCTATGTTGTGATATTTAAAACATCTTATTTACCTGATTTAGTATAATTGCCTTTATAGTTGTAAAGAAACTTGACGTATTTTAGGCTTTCTTTTTAAGTGCAAATTAATGTTAAACACAACTATCTCTGAAATATCATTATCTGACTTTTTTTTCTGTTTCTTCCTTTAGAAGTTACAGAGCATCAGAACAAAACGTAATATCTTTTTTGAATGTAATGCCCATCTCTTTGCCTTATCTTACTCAGCATGTATGCACACAGTAAGATGAATGTAGCTAATCCACGGCATGTATTTCAAGAGTTCTCTATTTTGTGAGTCCCTCTAGGTAGACTCATCAAAAGTTTCAGCCGTAAGTAATTTAACAGTGTACATACAGCTTACGTGGGGTTGCTAGCTTGAGAGCTGCTCCTCTCCAAAGACTTTCTTTCTTTGTCTAGGAAGTGTGTTTGCTTCTTCTATGCATAAAATTTCAAGGGGGTACTGTTTTTTAACAAGCAAGCACACTTTCTAGACAAAGATCAATTCAGAGGGTGGAGGAAATCAGCCACCTGGATTACCTTTTCAGTGAAATAAAACCATTTTTGGACAAATTTGTCTTTAGGGGCCTAAAACCATTCTTAGCATTCATGAAATGATAATTTTTTTATTTCTTTGGGGTAAAAAAAATAAAACTAATGAATCGTAACTTTTAATCTCTTGTACCGAAATAACAGACATTGTATGCTTCTTTCTTAGAAAATACTTTTCATATGTTGCAACAATTGGAACATGCAACAGTCTCTTTTATTTATTTATTTTAATTACTTTACTTATTTATTTTGAGACGCAGTTTCACTTTTGTTGCCAGGCTGGAGTGTAATGGCGCGGTCTCGGCTCACTGCTACCTCTGCCTCGCGGAGTTCAAGCGATTCTCGTGCCTCAGCCTCCCAAGTAGCTGGGATTACAGGCACCCACCACCATGCCTGGGCAATTTTTTTTCTTTTTTGTATTTTTAGTAGAGACAGAGTTTCACCATGTTGGCCAGGCTGGTCTCGAACCCCTGAACTCAGGTGATCCACCTGTCTCGCCCTTCCAAAGTGCTGGGATTACAGGCATGAGCCACCGCACTAGGACTCTTCTTTCATTTAATGTTGCTATTGGAGAATAGAGGGGAACCTTCACTATGACTCCAACCTCAAATTCTGAATGGAGATTTGATTGCTCTAGACCCTTACCCACTTAGAAATGTTTAGCTGCAGGTAGTTAAGAAGTAGATCACCTCAGACCTTCTGAAAAGCTCATCTACTGAATAGAGGACTGTAATCATTGGGGCAACTATAAATGCTGTTTAATTCTGGTTTTAGTAGAAAATGAAGCATTAGAATCCTTTGACATTTCTTTGAATCTTTTCATCCTAAAATGTCTGTTTTCTCATTAAAAAAAAAAAAAAACATATTTAAGACTAACCCAAAGAAGGCATTCATTTGTAACATTGGCAAGCACTTAGTACAATTGTCCTGCCACCATTTATAACTGCATGAGTTAAATATGGCTGGAAGTCTTTTAGATAGCTAGATTTCTTACCTTAGGGTCTTAAAAACCCTACAGACTACAGGAACCACAAGAAGTTTACCAAAAAATTTGGAAAGTTGACAGCTGCTAAAATCAAACTTGTAGATTTCAACACAGACTTATTTTTTTAAGTTTAGTCCCCTTTTAATTATAATAAATCTGAGTGATGAAACACCATCTTTTAAAAATAACTTTCTGCCAATGAGATATTCAAGATTAGCCATTACAAAAAAAGTGTGATATTATACATATAATTATTTTCTTGAGCATTAGATTCATCAAATTAGATTCACCACGAGGGTTATCTCATTGGCCAGACAAGGGACATTTCACCAAATGTCAACTAGCCACATCATGGAATATGTATATAAATATTTAGGAGAAACCACATTTGCTTTGTAGCTTTTAGGGCAGTTTTACACAACTACCAGATTTTGTGGTTTTAATAAATAGAGTGAGTTTCTATCTCAACTTTTGCCAGGTAAAAATCATAACAATTGATAAGGAATATTCTATCGAAAAATCCTTTTTCTCTGTGGAGAGGAGAGAGATACATTTTCTCTACTAGAAGAGGAAAGTATTGATAACCTTGGAAATCTGTGGCATTTCTTCATGGTTCAATGTTTGAAGGAAAAAGTTTGGAAGCACGCAAGTACACTATATTAGTATATATCTACTGGGATATGCAATATTGTATTACTCCACCTCTTACTGTAAAGATGATGTGTTAAAATCATATAAATGTGTGAAACCTCTAGAAATATGAGAAGCTTACAATACACAATACAGTTAAAATCCTCTTGTGAAAAGATATAGACCAAAAGAAATTGGTAGATATTGCATATTCTCATCAGAGCTGAATTTTTATTCCTGTACAAATTGAAGACAATGCCTTATTATCTATAAAAAGGGTCTATGAGTATTTTCTAATTCCTCTAAAATAAACACTTGCTTAATTAAAAATGGAGTGGATTTGACAGGATTAAATCTCATCAATGATCAATTTGTATTTTTATTAGATGGTTTGATGGCCATTCCAAAAAACAGACAATAATACTCAAGAATGTGAGGATCAACATTTTTACATCCATTATTAATATGTTGATGTAATAGTCAAGCAAGATTTTTTTCTCACTCCCCTTCTTGATCTTGTCTACAATGTCAAGTAGTAGTGGTCAGTTTTATTTTCCTACTATTATTGACTTGGGATTAAGTAATGGCTGGAACATTCTGGCAAGTTTGATGTCTTGGCAATTCTTTGTGACTGATCTACAAGCTTGTGAACCCAGGGACTAAGTAAATACTATGTATGTACCTTATCTAATAGCTGAGCATTAGCAGAAACATTCTACAGCAGAAGTTCTCAATCTTTGTCACATTAGAATTACCTGGGGAAATTTTTTTAAAATTCCAGTGACAGATCAAATAGGCCATACTCTCTTGGCAAGGGTCCCAGGCATCAACATTTTAAGAGCTTCCAGGAGATTCCAATGTGCAACCCAGGTAGAGAATCTAGAAGATACGGAAGCAGAGTCAAAATTGGAAATGAAGAAAATCCCCCACACTGAACACTGAATTTACCATAGATATAAGTTGGTTTTTTTGTTTGTTTTTGTTTTGTTTTGTTTTGTTTTCTGTCATGGGGAAGGGTAAGGTAAATTTTTGACCAAATTACCTAGACTTTTGGGACATACCCTCATATGTCACAGAGTGTGTCTCGTTGCCTCCAGGAAACTGAGACAGAAGTGAACAGTGTAATTGGCTCTGGCCTCCTTATTGCAGCAAAATAGCAAATCTGTGTGCCAGGGCCCTTCAGGGCAACACTATGAAAACTGCATTTGGATCAACCTTCATGTTTTCCCCCTACCCCTAAACACGTAGCCCTCACCTAATATTATCCTCATTTTCTCCCTTGAAAATCATCCCTCTCCTAGGTTTATCTAGTGTTATATTTATGCTAGATCTAGTTCAAGTGTTAAGACAAAGCAAAGTTTTTAGTTAATAAAGGTTTAAGTATAATACATCCCAGGGGTCCCAAAATTTTAATAGAGTCTCTTGAAAGTCAAAAATATAAAAGTTGTAAAACTTTAATGACACGAGTAACTAGGGGAGGATTAAATAATTGGGCTCAAGGGGCCCTTTACATGTTCCCCCTTCAAATTACACCAGGTGTGCAAACTTGCCCATTAGATTAAACCCTACTGAAAACATTAAGCTTCTGTTTATAATGTACTTAACGAATTTGCTATTATCAGATCAAAAAGTATGTTTTTGTCTTTTTGGTGGACATAAGGAGTCTTTTTGGTCATATAGTAGGGTAGTCAATTACATTGGAAATTAATTATTATTTTACCCATGGCAATTTGCCACTGTGCATAAAATTTATCTTTATTTACTAAGAGAAATGTGCTAAATACTTGTCATCCTACAACCTAAATTCCCCATAGATAATTTATAATAAAATATAATTTAAAATGTCAGATGTACTATGCTATGTCATTGAATATTAAAGATATGAAGTATAAATATTGCAAATATAATTGATTTTATAGAAGGAGTTACAACTTCTGCCAGTAATTTTGCCTTTGAAAAATAAAATTATAAGCCAGGCGCAGTGGCTCACGCCTGTAATCCTAGCACTTTGGGAGGCCGAGGTGGGCAGATCACCTGAGGTTGGGAGTTCGAGACCAGCCTGACCAACATGGAGAAACTCTGTCTCTACTAAAAACACAAAATTAGCCGGGTGTGGTGGCGCACGCCTGTAATCCCAGCTACTCGGGAGGCTGAGGCAGGAGAATCACTTGAACCCAGGAGGCAGAGGTTGCAGTGAGTTGAGATCGCACCATTGCACTCCAGCCTGGGCAACAAAAGCAAAACTCCATCTTCAAAAAAAAAAAAAAAGAAAAAGAAAATTATGTCATCAATCAATCATTTAGTTAATATTTTTATATTCAGGAATGTTCACACTAAAAAGATTTTAGCAGTTTGAAGGCATTTAACAATTCAGGTATAATAATATTGTTTTAATCTTTACAAGGAAAATAAGGAGGCTCTCTGAGGGCTGTAATTGACAAGTTTTACAAAAGCAGGCTGAGACTTGATAGTTTTAAATGCCTCAATATCATATCTGTTAATTTATATTATTTTTAGTACTATGAACTATAACTGATATGCTCATTTCTTGATATTATTTGCATCAGTTTTTTGTTTTTTGTGAGACAGGGTTTTGCTTTGTCACCCAGGCTGGAGTGCAGTGGTGTGGCCATGCTCACTGCAGCCTCAACCTTGCAGGTTTAAACTATCCTCCCACCTCAGCCTCCCAAGTAGCCAGGACCACAGGTGCACACCACCATGCCTGGCATTTTTTTTATTTTTTATTTTTTTTGGAGAGATGAGATGAGGTCTCACTATGTTGCCCAAGCTGGTCTGGAACTCCTGGGCTCAAATGATCCTCCCACCTTGGCCTTCTAAAATGCTGGGATTACACGTGTGAGCCACCGCGACCTGGCCTGCATCAGTTTTAATTGTCATGTTTCTTTTCCCTATTGCAAAGTGAAAGAATTATTGTTGAAGTAAAAGTTTTTCCACCACCTGCTTGCCCCTGCTTGCTGCTCTCCCAACATTCAGGTTCTTCATTTGTCTCTGTCTCTTTGTGTCTCTCTGTCTCCATCTCTGTCTGTCTCTCCCTTTCACACACACACACACACACACACACACACACACACACACACACACACACAGAGTTCTGTTTTGAAGTGATAAATCCCAGCAGTCATTCACTGCAAGCACTGTGAAGAATTATATCATCACTTTAATGGGTACCTGCCAGTCAGGGAGGTTAATGCATTTGCTCCCTTCCAGTGGTGGAGGCTCCCTCTTCTTAATCATGGCAGAAAAAGAAAATTGACCTCCTGTTCTCAATTTTACATGGATTTTTTCCTTCCAGATAGGGGTAGTGACCTTGCCAGAGGATCCAACTATTTTAAAGATCATATTTGACTAGATGATGGATGGCCAGTTACCTGGGCACTAGCATCTGTTCTGATAAAGTTGGGGTCTAGGGATAGGGCAGCTACATGGTAATGAATTTTGCTCTTGCCTCCAGCTGGCAGGAATGATATTCTCAGAAATTTAGTTGATTCTCAAAGGAGATGATTGGCAGTCTAAAATAAAATATAGAATGTAAGAACCTGATCTTCAATTTTGTGACACAACTTCAGTTTCATTCTTGAAACTTGCTCTACTAATAAATTGCTCGTCTAGAACTAATTTTATACCTTGAAGTTTACCCAGTGAGTTCTATAATAGACATTTTAACTTATCGTATAAAAGTGTCTTCCAAGTTTTCCATACTTTAAAAAAATTATCATCCATTCTCTTGTTCTCAGTGTGTGTGGAAAGGTGTTCACATTTGCCAACTTACTTGTTTTCTGAGTAATAATGTTTTGGCATAGGAGATTACATTATGATTTATATGGGTTTTGTAAATCTTTCAGTTCTTCTAATTTTAGCATGACCTAAGTTATATTTTCTCATTTTCTTAAAAAGTGTGTGATACAGGTATACAATTATCAATATATTTCTTGCCCCTTATGTTTTTTTAACCATGCTGTGCTATCAAATACTAGATCTTATTTATTCTATTTTTTTTTATCCATTAACCATCCTCACATCCACACCATAAGCCCCCGATTCCCTTTTCCAGCCTCTGGGAACTATCCTTCTGCTATGTCCCTCAGATCAATTATTTTGATTTTTAGATCCCACAAATAAGTGAGATGTGATATTTGACTTCCTGTGCCTGGCTTATTTCATTTAACGTAATGATCTCTAGTTCCATCCATATTGTTGCAAATGACTGGATCTTATTATTTTTTAAGTCTGAATAATACTGTATTGTGTATATGCGCTATACGTTTTCTTTATCCATGCATCTGTTGATGGAAGCTTAGGTTGCTTCCAAAATTAGCTATTGTGAACAGTGCTTGCCACTTATGTTTGAAGCCTATCAAAAATTACAGGAAAACAGATCAATAAGAATAAATTGGTTACTTTTTTTGTACCCAAGGCAATATACTTTTTTTCTGACAGCTTCACAAGAACTGAGCAAATATATATATATATATATATATTTTTTTTTTTTTTTTTTGGAGACGGAGTCTAGCACTGTTGCCCAGGCTGGAGTGCAGTGGTGCCATCTCAGCTCATTGCAAGCTCCGCTTCCCAGGTTCACGCCATTCTCCTGCCTCAGCCTCCCGAGTAGCTGGGACTGCAGGCATGTGGCACCACACCCGGCTAATTTTTTGTATTTTTAATAGAGACGAGGTTTCACCATGTTAGCCAGGATGTTCTCGATCTCCTGACCTTGTGATCTGCCCCCCTTGGCATCCCAAAGTGCTGGGATTACAGGCATGAGCCACTGTGCCCGGCCACAAATATATATAATTGTATCTTCAGCATAAATTCTTATCTTTCCATAATGATAGAACTAATTCTGTAATTCTTATGGTTTCCAAAAATTAACAAATAAAAAATTTCTAGAAAGCATCCTCTGGACAATTTCAGTTTATTCTTTTCCCAACTAGAGATGACAATAGTTTATGAAGTGAGAGAAACCTTGGTGCTCATCCCATCCACTCCTATACTTCCACAAATGGGGAAGTTTAAATTTAAAAAATAGTTTTCCTATAAATGGTATATTCAGTGGTAATTTTGGGAACAAAACAGGTATCTTGATTTCTTTTAATTACCTTTTATTTTTAGGGATATGATCTCCTTTTATTTGTTTGAGGTTAATAGACTTAGATTTTTAAATTAATTTTATTTGCTTCTGATCTTTATATTGTCTGATCCTCTGTGTTAATTTTTATTCATTTATTTGTTTTGATTGGGTTTGTAACATAAGCTGCAATGAGATAGAATTTTGGATGATTGAGGCTGAAAATCAGGTTTTATGAAAAAAGGCTGAAATACAATTTTAAAAATGTATACCCCCAAAGGTTATCTATGACCTTTTATTAAAAGTAAATATTATTTGATATGTGCATAAAATATGGGAAATATCTGTAATGCCTATTACTGAAAACTTATGACTAATCTTAATCCATGAAGAAACCACTATATAATTTATACAACTTCTTTTGTTATTGTAACTTGTAATAAGCAAAATGAATAAGATCCAGAAATGTCAATATTCAAATGATAAGTGACAATAGGAAGTTTTTTAACTTTCTCGGTGAGCTTCTGTTTTTCTAATTTGTAAAATAGAAGCCATATGCACCTACTGGTGGAGTGAAGGGTAAGTGAAATTATGTATATTGGATATTTCACACAGTACCTAACACATAAGAGCCTTTCTGTGAATGTGAGTTGCCCTCCCTTCATAGCTTCCAGAGAAAACATGGGTGGTCTTCTTAGGTACTATTTGCCTCACGACAGGTTATAAACAACAGGGATTTCTGGATAGTAAATCAATACTAACTGATAATTGCCAGAAAAGGAAAACAGAAGAAGAATTTGGTTAGCAGCTTAGTCACTAAGGCAACTTTTTGTGAAAGAAAGTCATCAGTGAACTGTACACACAGCATTGGTTTGTCTTCTGTCTTCATGTTTCTCTTAGCCACATCTAAAGAGAACCCACGTACCCAGGGGGCCTATTACCTAGTAAGAAGCATCCAGCTCACATTGTAGCCACTACAGTAATTGAGGCACGTAATTTAACAGCAAATAAGATTTTGGTGATTGTCTGACAGTTCCAAACCTATGAAGTAATGGTAAATAACACACAGCCTCATCTCTACATCCACATAGCATCTACCAACAGTGTTATTTTCTTTGTTATTATAATGTAGATGAGTAGGTTCAATTTCTATGAAATTAACAGGATATAAAAGATTATAAAGTTGCACTTCATTCTGCCTGGATTTGAAATTCAGTTATTATTCTATCATTTTAGTAATTATGAGAAAAATGTGATATTGATAAAGTATTCAAATTATACAATAGTCATTGCTTTGGTAATATGTCAGTCTGAAAACTACAGATTTTTAAAGGTGCAACCATTTCAGATGTCAGATTGCAAACTCCTGGTGTATCTGGAAACCGTGTGTTTTTAGAATATTTTATAGGATTAAATTTGTGAGTTGAGGGAAGGCCTTATTTTTATAAAGATAAGACTGACGGTCTTTATTAGAGGTCAAGTGGGGAAAATGTAGAGGCTATTTTGCTGTGATCCTGTAACATCACTTCAACCATACATCTGTAGGAAAATTGACAATTCTGTTTCTGTCCTTACAAGTCAGCCACCAAATTAAGTACAGTCTTGTGCCACGTAGCAACATTTAGGTCAGTGGCAGACAACTTATATGAGGGTGGTCTCATAAGATTATAATGCAGTATTTTTATTTTACCTTTTCTGTGTTTAGATATATTCAAATACACAAATACTTATCAAATTACAATTGCTTATAGTTTTCATCACAGTAACATGCTGAACAGGTTTGTAGCCTAGGATACATAGGCCATATATAGCCTAGGTTTGCAGTAGGCTATACCATCTAGGTTGGTGTAAGTACACTCCATGATGTTTGCACAAAAATGAAATTCCTTAATTATGTATTACTCAGAATGTATTCCCATCATTAAATGACAAATGACTGTACTAGAAAACTCCTAGAAATTTAAACTTTAATAGTAATAGTAAGAATAAAATATTTAAATAATTTTTGCCTGCCAGTTTGGCACTTAGAATTCAAATTTCAAGGGTAAACTAGAGATGCTTTGTATAGTTTATTTCAGGCTGAGCTTATAAATTAATAAATAAAGAAAAAAACAAACTTCCTAGGAAATAAAGACAAATTTTCTGTTGCAATCTGAGATGGGAATGGATAAAAAGAAGAAATATAAAATTGACTCAAATTACTATTGGTAGAAAATTGAGGTTTTTCCCTAAAAATACGCAGTAGCTGTTTACACTGATCACAGTAATCATGTAATTGTGAAATTTCCTATTTCATTTTGAGCCTATATTATGAGCCCTGAGAGTAACTATGCCCACTTGACAGAACGTAATTAAGAAAGCCCTATTTCAACAAGGGAAATTTGCATTCACTGCCCTTGACCCATAACTTATTGACATCAAAAAAAAAAAAAAGAGAGAGAAAGAAACTCATATATATTTGCTGTCCATTAGGTACTATGAATCATTTGATTCTTACGGCAGTCCTACCAGTTAGTTATTATTATCCCTATTTCACAATGAGGACAGTGAGACACAGAAAAGTTCATTCATTTAACATATTGTTATCTAGTGCTTACGAAATAAACCATAGGAACTGGTCTAGGTCCTGGGGATATCATAGTGACCAAGATGGAAAGGCTTACAATTTCTTATGGAACATGTTCCTTGTCAGAAGAGAGAAAACATATATAAGAAAAACCAACCAAACAAATTTTAAAAAACACAAAACCTAGTAGCATTCATGCAATACAGGATATGAAAAGATAATGGTGCAACTTAGAATGCCTGGTTGGAATCTTTAGATTTCTTAACACTGGGAAGGCTTATTTATTTCTTAAGACTGGGAGGGCTTATTTCTTAAGACTGGGAAGACAGAGTGAAGATCCAGATGAGAGGAGGAGCCAACAGCATGGAGGTCAGAAGGAGGTGGGTGGCAGACAGAAGGAGAGTCCAGGCCAAACTCTAAAGCCCAAGCCCTAGAGCTCTGTGAGAAAAGGAGAAAGTGGAGCAACACCAGGGCTGAGGTAGGCAACCAAGAGGTAATGACAGACTTTGAGCCAGATTTTAATCTAAAGGAGTTGGGAAACAACGGTAGGAACATCACAGCCCAATTTATATTTTTAAGGAAAGAAATGATCACTCTGGCTACTGTGAGGTGAACTGATTGGTGGTGGTCGAGGGAGGCACGGAGCATAGAAGACAGAATAATAGGAAGAACATTCAGTGGTCCAGATGAGAGGTGGTAGAGGAGATGCTAAGGATAGATAGTGTGGCACTCAAGAAAGAAGAATCAGGACAAATTCTAGGTTTTTGCCAAGAGCCAAAGAACCATTTACTGAGTGGAAGCCTGGGAAAGGAGTTGGTTTGTCTCTGGTAATCAAGACCATATTGTTAATTTGCTAAATTTCAGAAGACTTTTAGACTCTAAGAGAAGATAGCTATTAGGACTTGGCTGCTCAAGTATGGATTTGGGGGTCAAGATAGAAGACAAAAATTTGGGAGTCATATTTGAAAAACTTAAATTATCAAATATTCAATTCAGTATATGAAGAAAAAATGTGATTCCAGTTTTAGTTAATTTGCTTCTTTGTTGTTATAAGATGGATTATTAACTAGAGAAAACATGTTATAGGCCAAAGATCAATAAAGTTTTTGCTAGAGAAAAGTATACAATTTCAACAAAAACATAAAAAGTTATATATGTATTAACAAGTTACATTAGACCTGTCATTAAAATGATCAGACGAAGAAGTAGATAATAGACCAGCCTGGCAATAATACCCTGTTTCTGCTAAAAATACAAAAATTAGCTGGGTGTGGTGGCATCCACCTGTAATCACAGCTACTTGGGAGGCTGAGGCACAAAAATTGCTTGAACCCGGGAGGTGGAGGTTGCAGTAAGCCAAGATCGTGCCACTGCACTCCAGCATGGGTGACAGAGAAAGACTCCATCTCAAAAAGAACAAAAAAAAGTAGATGATAGACCTATTCAACTTCTTAGCATGACTTCAGTTAAAAATACAGATCGTAGAGAATACATTAGTTCTATAACAGGATATTTTTGAGTTGAGATAAAACCGAAATGTATTTATGATTTAAATAATATGTAATTATAACATTACACTTTTGTACACATTAGCTAACTTTGTTCATAAATCAGAAGGCATCTAGCAAAATGCATTTTGTTTTATGGTGGTGCAGATTGAACGAATGAAATAAAAATTGTTAAATATGTATTTTAATGTGAATTAATGATGAAGTAACCAGATATCATCCATTTATTTCAGACCTAATCCTAAGAAAGAATATGATGTAAATGTATAAAATAATAGTATCTTATTAAGTTTTAAATATTGTATAAGAGCTAATTCTCTGTAAAATGGCATAATCCAGAAAAGCTGACTTTTAAAATATTGCTGTAAAATGAATCCTATCTAAACATGCTTAACATTAAAAAATAAGTACCTAAATAAAATCAAAGCTTTGTTACCACAGACAATTTCATAGAATACATGAAAGTATTTTGAAAGGAAGAGGCCGGGCATGGTGGCTCATGCCTGTACTCCCAGGACTTTGGGAGGGCGAGGCAGGTGGATCACTTGAGGTTAGGAGTTCGAGACCAGCCTGACCAACATGGTGAAACCCCATCTCTACCAAATACAAACATCAGCCGGGTATGGTGGCGTATGCCTATAATCCCAGCTACTTGGGAGGCTGAGGCAGGAGAATCGCTTGAACCTGGGAGGCGGAGGTTGCAGTGAGCCGAGATCATGCCATTGCACTCCAGTCTGGGCAACAAGAGCTAAACTTTATCTCAAAAAAAAAAAAAAAAAAAGGAAGAAAGTTAGATAGATGTATAGATGATGATCATACCTATAAAATATGGGCTATTGTACTACTGAAAGCATTTGGTAGGATTCCTAGAAATCTGTTTTCATTCTCTCCCCTCCTTTAAGTAAGTTTTTTTGTTGTTTTGTTTTTTGTTTTTTTGAGACGGAGTCTCGCTCTGTCGCCCAGGCTGCAGTGTAGTGGCCTGATCTCAGCTCACTGCAACCTCCACCTCTCGGGTTCAAGCAATTCTCCTGCCTCAGCCTCCCTAGTAGCTGGGACTGCAGGTGCCTGCCACGATCCCTGGCTAATTTTTGTATTTTTAGTAGAGATGGGGTTTCACTGTATTGGCCAGACTGGTCTTGAACTCCTGACCTTGTGATCCACCCGCCTTGGCCTCCCAAAGTATTGGGATTACAGGTGCGAGCCGCCACGCCCGGCCTCTTTTAAGTAAGTTTTAAGTGGCTAATGTTGCAGAAAAATACCACAGTAGTTCATATATATTCTTGGCTTCCTTAACTTCTGCTTTGACTGAATATCTATAACATCTTATTATAAAATATTCATTAGTCAAAATTCTGGAATTCTCACAAATAAGTGCTCTATTTTGGGTAAAGCCACACATTTCTTATCCCCACATAATTCGCCAGTTGAATAGGAGTGCATAGGACTTTGTTGATGTCCAAATTCAGCCTCTGGAAGACTGAGAATGCCCCTTGCCCACTTCTGATGAGTAACATTGTGTGTGTGTGCATGCGCGTATATGTGCATATGTGTATTTAAAATTATAAGCATTTTATATAAGCTGTTAATTGTTAAATTGGTTAATTACTCCAGATAATCAAGAATTAAGTTTATGAAAGAGGAGGCTGCATGAGATAAAAAGGGAATTAACTCTATTTTTTAAAATAAAACACCTTTAAAATATCTTTCCAACATAAGTGATACACGAATTTCTACATTTAAAGGCCCAGTTTCCTTCATCTCTCAGCCATGACCTTCAAAACTTAAAACTTAACAGTTTAAAAATTCCTTAAATTCAAATATGGGCAAGCAACTTTAATCCAACAGAAAAATAGACAATGAATGTAGTAAGAACAATCACAAAAGTACCCTAAGATATATGAAAGATGCTTAACCTCACCTTATAATAAGAGAAATTCAAACTATATTTTCTCCATCAAATTAGCAAAACACCCTAAACTTTAATTACATATGGTTTATGAGGTTATGGGGATACAGGCACTCTTGCATATAGTCAGGGAATTTTAAAGTGATATAATCCCTATGGAAGCAAAGTTGGCAGTATTTGTTAAAATTACAAATGCTTTTGACCCGGTAATTCCACTTTAAAATTTATCTTACCAATATATTTGCACATCTGTGAATGGACATATATTCATATATATACATTGCAGTGCTGTATTAGTAGTAAAAATTTAAAAGATTTCAAATGCCCACCGCAGGTGATCCATACAACAAAATGTTATTTGCAACTATAACCTCTCTAAGTTTTGATACAGAAATACTTCTAAGATATTTTGAGTGAAGAAAAGAAAGGTAAAGAAAAAGGTTTATATTATGATTCCTTTTGACTGTAAAAAAGTTGAGAATTAATAAAGATTTATACATCTAATTTGTTGCATATGCATAAAAAACTTGAAGGAATGCCCAAGATTTTAGACAGGATTAATCCATTGAGGGCAAAGAAGTAAGAACTAAATAGAGGGAAAGTCCAGATGGAAGGAAGTTTATCTTTATCACTCTAAACCTTTATATCTTTTGGCTTTTGAACCATAAAATTTATTCTCTTATAAAAGGCTGGGCACAGTGGCTCACACCTGTAATCCCACGACTTTGGGAGGCCAAGGTGGGCAGATAATTTGAGGTCAGGAGTTTGAGACCAGCCTGGCCAACATGGTGAGACCCCGTCTCTACTAAAAAATACAAAAATTTGCAGGGCATAGTGGCACATACCTGTAATCCCAGCTACTCAGGGGCCTGAGGCAAGAGAATCGCTTGAACCCAGGAGGTGGAGGCTGCAGTGAGCCGAGATCGCACCACTGCACTCCAGCGGGGGCAACAGAGTGACTCTGTTTCAAAAAAAAAAAAGTGAATGTGCCTGATTTTATTAAGTACACAAGTTTGAAAAAAATTATCTCTAAATTTCATAAATAAAATGGATACTAAAATCGGATTTGTGTTATATTTATAGAATTATATTGATCTTTAGTATTCCTCTGAAACTCCAGATATAATTCCTAACACAGTGGATGTTCAATATACAGCTGATGCTTGAACAACTTGGGAGTTAGGGATGCTAAACCCCAGTGCAGTCTAAAGCTGGAGTATATATAACCTTTGAATCCCCGAAAACATTACTAATAGCCTACTGTTGACCAGAAACCTTACTGATAACATAAACAGTTGAGTAACACATATTTTTATATGTATTATATACTGTATTGTTACAATCAAATAAGCTAAAGAAAAGAAAATGTTAAGAAAACCATAAGAGAAAATATATTTACTATTTATTAAGTAGAAGTAGTTTATCATGAATGTCTTCATCTTAATCATTAAATACATCTTCACTTACATATTTACTTTTCCATATAACATTAAATAATAATTTACATATGATAAGAACACAAGGAATCTGAAAATTATAAATTATATTATTTTCTTTTAACTGGAGAATTAATGTCTAGGCTATTCCTATGTATATCTGAACTCCTGCTTTCTTTGGAAAGTGGTTTATGACTGAGCAACTTTTAGTACAACAATGCCTATTGTACACCTTTGACTTGTGAAAATAATAGAACCTAAAAGTTCAAAGACTGCATGAAAGACAAGCTGATTGTCCATTGCTAAAAAGAGCAATTAGCAAATCAATGAGCTAGTCTGTGTTTATAGTTTTTAAAAAGTTAATTGCTTATTTCTTTACGAATCTGTTTCAACATCATAAGCCACTAGTGATCATCAGTCAAATCTGTCAAAATCATCAAAGCATGTTGTGAGAAACCTTTTCCTTTTGAACCATTACAAAGTTAAAGAAAATTTCTAATGGCTATTTCCATATTTCATTTTCATTAACAATGCTTACTGACTGAAATTCAATTTTTTTTGTTGAATTAACCTTAGGACAATATTGAATAACGTAATTAACTCAGAAAACCATGACAAGTTTAGTTAAAGTCTTGAGTCTTAGGAAGTCTTTACTTGGCAGGTGACGGTGGAACAAGAAATGTGCATTCAAGAAAGAAACACCTCTCCCCTGAAATCTATTTTTGTTTGAGAGCTGAAAAATGTGTGTTCTCCTCTCCTTCATCGTACACAAGGAACTATAGCATTTAAATATATTTTGACAAAGTGTAGAGAACTGTCTTTGTAATATAGTGATGTCAGTGAGTTTTAAAACTGTGTCTCTTGCAGGTTAAAAGGAAAGGCCACGAGAGGAAATGACTAAATCCTCAGAGTATATCTTCATTGACAGCTGATAACTAGCATGCAGCTTAGCAATAATAATTAGTTCCCTCTTTAGAAAATTTCCGGATGAACTCTGAGTTGGTGCATTTCAGTTTCATCTTATTTCTTTGTCCATTCCATCCCCAAGCAATTCATGTTATTTTTAGAGTAGGAGGAACTCAAGATGAGCTTGCTTCATTTAACGGAGTCAGCACTGTCCATTATTTCACTGTGTTTTCTTGAGATTACCTGAGATTAGAGTTTCTTCTGTCCCCATCTTCCTGTATATTTTCTGTTTCTTTCATCCAGGCAGCTTGAAGCAGCATGAAGGGATTTAAAGGAGTCAGCCATTACTTGGTAAATATGCCAAGTCCAGGGACCATGATTTGGAGTTCAGATAATTAATATGACTTAAAGGAGTGACTCTAAAACTAAGAAAGGAAAAATTCTTAAGGAGGGAAGAAAGCCTTGCTTGCCTTTATATTGCCTTCAGTATATGCAAAAAATATTCAATACATTTTGAAACTCCATAGCAAATTAGATAGAAATATTTCAGTTTTCTCAAATATGAGATATGTAAAACTAAAAATGTCATGAATCAATAAGTCAAAGCAAAAAAAATTTGTAATTATTTCGGATAGTTTATAAAATACACAATAAAGGTGATTAAAGTTGAATTGATATTAACCTGAATTTTTCTATTTATCTTGTTGCCATTAAATAATTTTGAATTATCTCAATACAACCTATTAAATATTTTGAAAACCTTCTATCTTATTATTTATATCAGGCTCTGCAAAAAATGCATTCATTTCTGACACATTATAATCCCTTAATAGACTAGACTTTTAATTACTAGGGTATTTTTAAAATAATATTTAGAAATCTCAGTGCATTGTAACAAAGCTCTCCAGTCAACTTCTGTCGTTCAAATTTTGTCACCAACACTGACCAAATAACCTTAGCTCTGTACTGAATCTCTAATAAATTCTCTTTTTGCATACAGAAAATGGGGATAATAGTATTTCTGAGGAGATGTCACAATGATTACATGACATAAAATTGTCTAGCCCTTAGATAGTACATGCCATGTAACTGCTCAATAAATATTTATTAACTGTTATTATCACCTTGAGAGTTAGGGTGGGGAGGACCAGTACCTGGATATAGGAGGAAATTTGGTTGCATAAAAAATGAGACGTCTCGTACATCTTCCCCTTTTACTTATATAATTTCATTTTTGATAAAGTAACACATGTTCACTGGAGAAAATTTGTGTAATATAGAAATTTTACATAGGTCTCTAGAAGAGCCTGAATTCTTATTTTCACTAGTTATTGTAATTTTTAAAAATACCTCTTAAAATGATATTTTATCCTCATTCCTTTGAACATTTAATGAAGTTGAATTCTTTTTATGCAAATTCACTTTTTGCGTCTTTGATGTCCTATTCACAGAACAGTGTTGATATTTTTACTTCTTTAAAATAGTTTTTTTCAACATATTAAAAGAACATATTAAAAACAATTTGTTTCCATACGTGCTATATGTATGTTTTTCCCCATGTTTCCCCTAATAATTATGTTTCTGCTTCTTTCTTAAACTTCAGAATTCCATGATTTATCAAAGTTTACTGCTTTGATCTCATTAATTGTTTTATGTTTATAATGCTCTTTTTACAAATAAAGCATACTGCAATTTCTATGAATTTCTTATGGATGAGATAGATGAAAATCTCATTATAAAATAGATTGGAAATAGAAGCATTCTTCTCTATGCAGATATGAAATTTATTATCCAGTCATGTGAGTCACTTTCACAATCCAGTTATTATCGGGAAAAATGACTTAAGATCAATTAATGAAGACTCAAATTTTCATATTTGGCAGATACTCTCCAACATGCAATATAATTATATAATCATAAACATCTATATATGAATGAACATCTAAACATCATGAACATCTAAACATGATTATATAATCATGAAAAGCTATCGACAGCAGGCCAACTTATTTAGTCTAGCAGAAATACAGATTGTAACAAATTTATGGTATTATAAATTTGTTCATGGATAAAGACAGACTGGCTAAGTTTGCTATGGAATTGAAACATGCTTCATGTTGACTGCTCTGACCCCATACACATTAATTATAGAAACCACCCTTTTTACCATGTGGCTTCCACATTTTAACCGCAGATGGATAATTGTTCACAACACATTCAATCTAGATGAAGCCAGCAATCTATGAATTATGAACACTAGCTGACACAATTTCATTATTTCCCTTGAGAATTTGAATTGGGAAATGCAGGAGCTATTGTCACACTGTGGTGATGTGGGAGCTGGAAATTTATATATAATTGGGAGCTAACAGACATATTTGGCCATGAACAAACTAAATAATAAGCCCTTTAGAATCAGTACAGTGAAGCGGTGGCATTAAGAGAAGCAAGAAGCAAAGATGCAGCATCTTCTAAGAGATAAATTACCTTGGCTTCTGTTTGTTTTCCGATTACCATGAAGCCAGGATTTCTGTCCTCACCTTTACATTACTTTAATTTAATCTCTGTTCATTGCAGTCATTAATATTCCAAATAACATGGCTACCTAAGGCCATAAAGTGACTTTTGGTGGAGTGAATTTTGATGTTAGTTTAGTTGTCTTTTATTAAGGGATGTAGTTATAAGCACAGGTGTAGAACTTTACACCTTAATTCTTAGTGATGTTGAATGTCCACCATAGTATTTTTCGGTATACCTATTAAAACCTTAGAAGAAATTTCTCTTAGTTCTTAATACTAGATAATGCTCCTAAGCAATTGATACAGTTTTTTTTTTCTTGTGTTACAATGACTTCCTCTACTTTGGATTTTGGGAAGGCTGAGGTCAAATTTGGGATTCATTTTAATAATGTAACAGATATTAGCGGATGACTTCCAGTTAAATTTATTACAACCCACTCATCTTAACTGTTTTTCTCTTACCCTTACTCCCTAGAAATATATTTGTTTATTTGATCGGATATATTTGTATAAGTCATCTCAGATCCTTTTTGGAAAGAGGCAAATTAATCAAATAAAGTAGAAAAATTGAGTTAATATTGAATAAATAAGAGTAAATATATAATAAACATTCACATCTTTTCAAAAATAGTTTCTATTTTAGAATGGCTCCATGTCCATTATTGCAGATATATGTCTAAAGCACAAATATTCACCTATAATGGATACTTCTAACCTTTCTTGAATAAAGTCAAGGATGTTACAAAATTGTAACCAGTTAGGAAAAGCAGTCCAGGCCTTAGAGAAAATTAAGGATCAAGATAGGATTTATGCCAGTGAAAGTAGACATGAAAAATATAAACCATGGCATTCATAAACTCTAGTTAGTGCTATGATTTTAAAATAATGTCTACCTACTGACAAGTCTTAATGTCTTAGGAATTCAATTGTTGTCACTGTTTTGTTGAATGGCATTGGTCAGGGTAGAGAGTAGCCGAAGCATTCAATGCATTTTTCTTTTTTTATATTATGAAATGTTTAAAGAAAACTATAGTCTGTTTATTAGGTTTATAAATTTAAAAAATGACCTTAGAAATGTTTCTAAGAAGTATCTTCATAAATAAAATGATATTTCTCAATTTATTACCTATGGTATGTAATGATATTCAGTTTTATGTATCCAGACATATTTTGGCAATAATTTTCTCTGAGGCAATATGAATGAATCAGGAAAAGTAATCTCTGAAATTCCTTATTATATTTTTTTTCACTGACATTATAATCATTTAGAGTCAGAGCAAAAGTTGTAAATGAATTTTCTAGCTACTTCACTTTAGGCAAGCTTAAACATGGGACATGTGATAGTTAGACTTGCTATTCACCACTCCCTCCCTTTGATAAGCTTCCAACAGTATGAAAAACAAAAATAAAAGCTCAGCACTGTACTTTAAAGGACTCCATAAAACATCTAAGTGTCGATTTGCTTCTTTTTTTGCACTGTTTTATCAGCTTCATTTTAAAAATGCAATTTAGTCAAATAATTAAGAATTTTAAAGGTGAAAGGGTGATTAACAGGTGAAGAATCCAGTCTAAAGAGGTTAAGAGGTTGTTCAAGTTTACCTACGCAATTATTGTCAAAGCCAAGACTAAAACCTGGCCTTCCAGATTCTCAGTCTACAAAGACCTTTGGTTATAATATACGCACCTGTTATACTTTAATTCTCATGTTTTTAGAGGTAAATTGAGTGATTTTCATTGTAATAGTGTATGACCATAAGATAGTCATTAAATTTTTGAGCACCCAGGTTTCTCCAGTAAAATAAAATACATTGGTAATTTAAACTGTCACACAGTGGTTGTTTGCTGTTTTGTAAAAGTATATGTGTGTGTGTGTGTGTACATATATATATAAATAAACATAAAGATCATTAAAAATGAAGATTCACTAAATTTGCATTTGTTGTATGCACACTTCCGTTCTTTCCCTCTGCTTTCTCCAAAGTATGTACCCACAGAAACGTGCACATCTTTGTGATTTCATAGGATAGATTTGGCCATAGAGAGGAAGAATAGGTTACAAGAGAAGGTGATACACCAGAATAAAATAAGATTGATGATTCAATAATTAGTTTCTACTATTATTTACAAAGAAATAAGAACTACTATCTTTAGACTATTAGAACTGTAATATACTTAGAAAGTAGGCAAATTGGTAAGTCATAAAAGCAAGTAAAAGTTGGTGTCTATCTTGCCATGTGCGTGCAGGGATAATGAGGTATTAATCACCTCACTGGGTAGCAGGCAAGGTCATCCCTAGATGGATTCACTCATGGAGTACCTCCTTTACTGGATGGGCTGCCTCTTACTAAAATCCCTCATAATTGAATCCTTTCATGACTTTCTCTTATTTCCCAACTTAGTCCCCTAAGCTCTACACCGGAGTGTTTTGGGTAGCTCTGTAGTCTAGGAACCTATTCAAGCTAGTGCGTAACCATCCTTTCATCAGTTGTACACATTCAGATTATTTCACTGTGCATTAAAACTGAGAAATGTTGCAAACTATTGGAATAACTGAGAAAACTTTTCTAAAAATCCACTTGGCAGCCCTGATATAAACGTAAATGCTTATGTATAAAGACAAATTATAATGATAGCAGACAGTTTTGAGCTATATTTTTGTTATGCTAGTGGATCCCAACCTGTGCTTCTCTTGCTGTATGCAAAGGAAAGCAGTATGATTCTACTTTTTATTAAATGGAAAAAAATTGTCTTCCAGGATTCAAGAACCTCTAATTTTTCATACTATTTTCTTTTCCTTCCCAAGTAAGTTTTGAGGGTGGGAAAAGAAGGAATATTAGGGAATAGATTTTCTACCATTGAAATTTTTGCTAATACTCTTCATTCATGCCTATGTCAGAAGTTTCAAGCTATATGTTTTACCTATACATATTTAATTTTAAAATGTCAGAATCTGGCAAACCTCTTATGTGTTATACCTATTATTCCTTTTTTCCCCACCCTCAAAACTTATTCTCAGATTATTTATTTAGGTGAATAGTCAAAAGACTCAATATCTCAAAGCTAACTCAATAAGAGAAAGTTTTACCTTTATAAGGGATACATTGATTTTAGCAGTATTGTTCATTTTAAAAGATTTAAATTTAACTCCACAAAGTTTTGGGCATCAACAGTTTGAGGGTAGAGATATAGATAAGGAATATATTATTAATACAGAGGAACAGATACTTTTAGCAGTATTGTTCATTTTAAACTAAAGATTTAAAGTTAACTCCACAAAGTTTTGGGCATCAACAGTTTGAGGGTAGAGACATAGATAAGGAATATATTATTAATACAGAGGCATATACTTCAGCTCTTCTTTCTCAGAAACAAAAAGTGTAAGAGTGGGCACAGTGCTGTAGATTTGTCCTACTTTATATTATCATTTGTTTAGATTTTAGAGTCCTCGTCACTAAGAATTCACATTCTCTGTTAGATGCATTAGGCATTGATCTTTGTAAAAAAAGTTATCTTCTAACTTGTCAGCATTTGCCAAAGGGCCTCTTCAGGAATTCTTTAGCATCCAGAGTCTAGGCCTGGGGTTTTTATTCTCTCTCATCACCAAAGGCTCTCATATATCGTTTTACCAACCTTAAGTACTAAACTGCCATATGCAATTAAATACGTTCAACAAACAAATGCACACACATGAGAGGTTTGCCAGATTCTGACTTCTTACATGTATATAGGTAAAACATAGCTCAACATTTCTGGCATAGGCACGAATGCAAGAGTATTAGCAAAAATTGCAATGATTGAAAATATATTCCCACCAGTTTTATCAGTGATCCCTACTGTAACTGTTACCACATTAATGCCTCATTGTATTGATGACACTGAGAGTTTGCAGACTGGGAAAATTTGATTTTGGATGTGACTATCAAAACCAATTTCAAGTAGAAACATTATTTTTCTGAGTGGCATTTATCTGGAATTTAATAAACACACTCTGGTGGGTTTAATGTAGATTTGGAACCATTATACATTAGAGGAGCTGTAAAATGACTTTCACCTAGCACTTTATGTTAAAGATTGTGAAGGATGACTATTTTTCTGTGTTTAAAAATATAGAATATTTTTCTTACATATTAAATTGTTGAAGTTTTTAGATTCATAAATTTATGAAATATTTTAACTTGTGCACATTAAAATTCTTTGCCAGTATATGTATGATAAAATGAATGTTAATGACTCAGTTCCAATAGGGATGAAAACAGAGCTATGAGAAAAGGGTGATAAAGGTATTTACATTTTCTCGTGTGCTTAGTGTATGTATCACTTTGCATTTCAGAGCTCTTGAATCTGAACAGAACATCAATATTTCATAGCCCTTTTGGATTTCTTGATCTCCATACAATGCTGCTGGATGAATATCAAGAGAGGCTCTTCGTGGGAGGCAGGGACCTTGTATATTCCCTCAGCTTGGAGAGAATCAGTGACGGCTATAAAGAGGTATAGAAATATCAAACTGCATTTCAGTAGAGATAGAAAAGGGGGGAAATTTCAAGAATGTTACTTGTCTTTTTTTTAATTGTATTGACCACTTTAAAATTTTGAGTGATTACTTTTTAAATAAAATATTAGTTAAAACTGAAATCATTTTGAGGAAATGATTTCTAAATCATGTTGTATGAACTTTTCTAGTACAACACTGATACCTGGATTTCCAGACACTCTTGCCTGGTGCATTTGACATTCCTCTTGCATGGTGGCCCTTGTCACCACACCCAATGTCCTGAGACCTAGGTTTGGAGCATGATGAATCACCACCAGTTCCTCTGGGCTTTATTATTCCAAAGCGCAAGCTTGAAGAAATGTTAAATATGTGGCCTCGATATAACTACCTCATATAGTTCTGTTGGTAATATCACTACTTCAGGTGGATGCTCCTTTAACTTGGTGGGTGGAGTAACTTATACATTTAAAACAAGAAACTACCAACATCTTTTGGAAAAGAGAAAAATAATCTGTAATTATAGTCTATAATTATACAAATAATTGAGCCAAATTTTCTTAGACTCATATAAATCTTACACAAAACATACATAAATATTTAGAACACAATATTTTTGGCATAAGTGCATGTATTATGTAATACACTTTCTTTATAATTGATTTTTATGTTTATGAGCCATGTCCATATTTTCTAAAGTCATTTTTTTTTTAATTATGACAAAGCATCATTCCTTGGTTTCTGCCAGTTCCCTATCCCTAGAGGTAATAATTTTAAACTTCTTGTTGTTTCTTCTGGTTCTTCCCTACATATTTCAAAATAACATTTGCATACTGTTTATTGATATGTTTCATTTTAGGCAATATCTGTTAAGAAATACATCTTTAAGGAAGATGAGAATTTTAGCATCCTTCTTTTGCAATACCACAGTTAAAATATTCTGTGTACCATACTTCATCAGCAACCCTCCAATCACTTGCCCTCCATCTTCCCAAAATAATTATACCAAAACTTTTGGTTAAATACCAGTGTCTTTACCTATTAGGAAGATAGTATTCACCACTGAGCCACATGCTGGAATTTTATCACACTTTTCCCTCCCTTTCTTCTGCCCTTGTTTCCTTCCTTCTTTCCTTTACTTCTACAATTTTCTTGTTCCTCTTGAAATTAAACATTACCCCATTTTTTCCATTTGATAAGATTTTTGTATTAGTTTCACTAATTTTTCGCCAGCCTCTCTACAAAAGTTTTTATACTCCTCTCAATGTAGTACAATTTACCAGTTTTCATCAGTTTACAATGTTTTGGTTTTTAATTGAAGGTATCCTCCATGCTCCACTTGTCTGGCTGGAGCTTAGCTTCACCATCACCTGGAGCATTCTCTCAGCCCCTGACTTATATAGAACTTCAGTTTCTCAGGCCCACCACCTATAGTCTGCCATGTTGCGGAAGCATATCCTCTCCTAGCTTCTGGAAGAAGGATACAGAGTCCAGTGTTGAGTCTTGCATGTTTGAAAATTGTATTATTCCAACTTCACACATTACTGATAGATGGATATAAAATTCTAGGTTGAAACCACTTGCTTCAGAATTTTG
Organism: Homo sapiens; assembly: GCF_000001405.40. Lineage (NCBI taxonomy): Eukaryota > Metazoa > Chordata > Mammalia > Primates > Hominidae > Homo > Homo sapiens. Next base: position 83,488,516 of record NC_000007.14, on the reverse strand, counting down.
AGGATACCGCTCCATTGTTTCCAAACTTCTAGTAGAGCTGCTGAGAAGTCTGATTCTTTCTAATTTCAAAGTTTTGGTTGTAACCTGTCTCTCACCCATGTGTTTGGAATCCCTTCTTTAATTAATCTCTGTGTTTTAAAACCTTCTCCTGTTTCTCTTAGCATCTCTCTTTTTATACCCCTTGCACTGAGACACAGTGGAACTTTCTACCAGGGACCCCATGGCCTTCAGCTCTAGAGAATGCTCATTATTTCTGTTGTATCTTTTCTTCTCTTCATTCTCCTCTTCACTTTCTTCCTGGGACTCCTCTAAGTCAGATTGTTCCCCCTTTATTGTCTGGCATTACTGCTTATTATGCATACTTTGAAACACTTCTGATTTCATCCACACCCACCCCTCTTCTCACTCTCTAGGCTTCTAATTTCCAAGAATTTCTGGAGTCTTTTTTATGAATCAGCTTGCATATTGGCTCCTGTCACCTTGCAAGCAGTTAGATTTCCGCTTTTCCTAGCGTGCAAAGTGCCAACACTTGCCCATATGTTTTAGAGTTTTTAAAATGTTGCTGATATTTCTTTGGCATCTACACTCCAGTTTTACTTATCCTTTTTGGATTATGTCTTTTTAATCCTTTTTCTATCATTTTCATGATTACAGGTTAAAGTAGAAGCAAATATTGCATTTCACCCTATCTTTCCTTTCTTTCTAATGTCTTTATTTTCTATGTAGTTCTCTTTTGACTTCAAACATATGTATACTAATTGCTCTCTTTCACTCTTCCTCTCTCTCCATATATATAAAATACACACACACACACACACACACACACACACACACGACCTCCTGCCAGTCAAATTCAATGGGTTTTTCTCTCACTTCTTGGTTGATCTCTTTCCAGCTTCAATCCTAACTGGCTTTGCCACTATCTCTTTCTTTTTCTTCTCTCTCTTTTTCTTCTCTCTCTCTCTCTCTGATACCATCTACTTACTCTGATTTTCTGTGAAGGAGTATCTAATCTAGGGATCATAAACAAGGCTGTCATAGATTGATCCCCATATTAAAATTGTTAATATGTGAATATTAGAATAACCTATAAAAGATCTGTCATTTCAGAAAATTAACAACCTTTTCATTGAAGAATTAGTTCTCAAATTATCATCCTTGGACCAAAATATTATGTGACTCTTATGGAGTGGTTCCCTGGAATCCACGTTTATAACAAATAGGTGACTCATGTACACAAAATTTAATAACAATTTTCCTGAGCTGTTGTTTCCTATGTGGACCATAAGACCAAGAGATAGCAGCTTCTCATTGTAATGTGATTCCCCTTCAGAGCAGGGGAAATTGAATCACCTACTCACTCTCATGTACTGTTTTGGCCTAATTATACCCTCAGCACTTTAAAACTAGGAAGCTGGGCTTTCAATGAGGAAATGACCTGTGAAAACTATATAAGGGTAGGAGACCCGGAGAGTGATGAGGCTTTATGAACTGCATCTTAGGGAACTAAATAGAGTGATATGTGGCCATTGAGCTTCAGGGTGCCATCTAGCCAGGATGTCAAGGAAAGTAGCTATAAAACCTATTTGAGTACCCCATACTCCAGGGTAAATCCTTATTTTGCTGAGCCCAAAATGTATACAACTTGGGGGAGTGGGAGACTTTTAACTAATATAATTAACACAAACTTTAAAAATTTCAAAATTGCAAAGACTCCTCTCAGGTGCCAGTCTGGGCAGGTACCAGTCTGGGCAGGTGCCAGGAAGGAGTCCTGAGGCTTGTTATGCTTCATTAGCTCTGATGTAACATCAGCCCCACCTGCATTTCTTATTTTGTACTTGTTCTTCCCGTTTCTTCAGAATGATAAGCAATAAATTCTCAATATGCCCTCTGAGGCTGCTTTTAGTAGCAGCGGAGTAGGAGTAAGGTCTACTTTATGACATTCTGCTTAAAAGAGTGAGCTTAAGAAAATGGTCAGTTCTTCGGTGCTCACCAGGCTCTGAAGATGTAATATGTCTGCTTTGGGGCCCAGCTCTCCTCCTGTCTTGTCTGGACTTTACTGTCTCAATTTTTTCCTGATATAACATTTTTTTTAAATCTCTCCCGTTGTGCTTTCTCTATCTCTGAGCTTCTCAAACTTGGTACTGCTGACATCTTGGATAATGCATAGTTAAGGATGGGAGTGCCATGTTCATTGCAGGATGTTTAGCTGCATTCCTGGCTTGTACCTACAAAATGCCAGTAGCACCCTCTCCACAGTCATGATAATCAGGAAAAGTCTCCACACTTAATTTAGCTTACCTATCTATAAACAAGATTCAGACCCTCTAAATGAAGACAAACATATGATACATGCCTGTAGTCCCAGCTACTCTGAAGGCTGAGGCAGGAGGATTGCTTGAGCCCAGGAGTTTAAGATCAGCCTGGGCAGCACAGTGAGACACTCTCTTAAAAAACAGAAAAGACACACACACACACACCATTAACCATGGATCTACCCGGTGATACATCTTTCCTTCAGATCAAACACCTTGAAAATGTAGCCAAAGCCTTTTATTTTTTCACTTTCTCACTTTCTATTTATTTCTTTAGTATCTTTTAAAACATAACATTTCATACAGAAAAGGATATACATAACATACATTCATTAGAACATATAATAAAATAAATACTTCTGAACCCAGCTCCCAACATCTGAATATCACCAATCCCATTGCAGGGGCAGCTACCTTCGTCTTCTCCCTATTTCCCTCCACATGCACCCTGCTGCCCAGGAGCAATTACTACCTACTACCCTTTCTTGTTTTCATTTTTAAAAATTATTTTATTATATATTTTCCCATACAGTATATATTCTGTATATACTGTTTTCCTACACAGTATATTATGTAGTGTCACTACTTTTGGGCTATGTAAAAATCATATACGATGGTGTGTTGCATTCTTCCGGGATTGCCTTTTGTTTTGTTTTCTTTTATTTAATATGATTTCTTATATTTAATTATGTACCTGTACCCATGCCTTATTTGCTGTAGAAGTACCATAGTGAATTGGGAGCACTCAACTGGGATTTTGGTGTTTAAATCCTGGCTATGCATGTATAATATTGGGCAAGTTCCTAAATCCCTTTGTGTCCCTATTTCTTTATTTGTAAAAGGATAAATATTATTCCTCTTTGAAGATAAAAATTAATTATGAATTAATTTATGTAAAGCACCAAGAGCAGTGCTTGGCACATAGCAGTATGTATAAGCTATTATTTACTCTGTATTCTGTGTAATATGTTCCATCATATGAATATAGCACAATTTATTTATCCATTCCATGTCAAAGGACATTTGGGTGGTTTCCAGTATTTCATTTTATCGATGTTGCTATGATCATTTTAGTAAACTTCTTCTGAGACATGCATGTGGAAAAGCATCCAGGGCACATATATTCAGGAGTAGAGTTGCCAGTGATAGAATATGTTAATGTCAAGATAATGCCAAATAGCTTTCCAATGTGGTTATACAGAGTTCCACTTCCATCACTGCATGAATTCCCAATGAACTCACACACTCTCTCACACTTACTCTGTTGTTCTGCTCAATCCCCACATTCCTCAACACTCTTCCCTTGATTCATTTATTTAGCTCTGCACCAATACCTCTCTATCTTAGCAACTATAATATTATTTTTAATTATTCTTAGCTTTATTTGATCATAATTTTAATAACCCTAGAATTATTTCAGAACACATTGAGTATAGAATTAGGAAATACACTGGAAAAATAAAATAATATTATAATGCCAGATATGATACATGTTATAAAGAAAATAAAACAACTTAGTGGAGGTAAGACAGTAGAGGTTGGTGAGGAGAGTAGGGTGGTCAAGAAAATATTTTCTAGGGAGGTGATATTTAAGAAGATAGCAAAATTAAATGCCCACTATCCATTTTTCAAGGCTCAATGACCAGTTTTGACTAGTTACACTGCAGAACTGGTAAAGTAACATCAGAGCATGTACCTCAGGCTGATTTGAAGGACGAGGTCATTGAAACAGATGGACAGGCATTGACTTGCAATTGTGATGGTTGATGAATCATCTATGTGAAGAGAAGGATAGTAAGCTAGGTGAAAACATATTCAATTAATGAGGAGAAAGTAGCAATGGATGATGGTAGATGACAAGGAGGAAGGTAGCAGGTGGTATGATTGTGACCATATGAAGTTTAAAGCAGCTAGGGTTTTATTATTTTAAATCTTTATTGAGTAGGTGAATTTAGAGAGGAAAAAATTAGTGAGAAGGCGAGAGTGGTCAGTGAAAATATTTTCCTCACATGTGGGTTTAGAGTAAAAAAGCCACCACCATATCTGATAGAGAAACAGTGTTCTCAAGGGACAGCCTGATTTTAACCAGAGCAAGAAGGTAAAGGAAAATGGGGAGAGAAAGATTGAAGTTGCAGGGATTTTGTCCATGACATTCCAAAGGATTTCACAGATGGGTTTGAGGTCTTGGAAAGGTGGGGTCAGATTGGGGGTGGTACAGAGCCATGTGATGTATGAGTCCAAGTATTCACTGTTGACCTGGAAGTGGGTCGGGTCAATACTTCCCATGGTGACTATGGTCAACAGCGGTACGTCATGATGGATTAGTCCTGATGATCTCTTCAGGGAAGATAAATAACCTTCAATTTTAACTTCATTTAGAAAATGGGAGCCATTGAACATGTTGATCCTCACCCTCCCATCACCAAATCTATTGTTTCCACATGATGTTTCCCACCTCCTTCCTTGTTATATTGTCAGTACTCCCTCCTTTTATGAAATGTCACTCCTTAAGCCCATGCTCTGGGTCCCAGCTTGTTGACCTTTCTTAAGGGTTATTTTCTGTCTTTTCTACATTATTATTTCTTCTTTTTCTGTCTATAAAAATCAACCACAAATGTAGTTTGTCTAGGGGTGCTTAATTTCCTTGTGAGACATGGATTCATTTGGCAGTCTGGCAAAACCTAGGGATCCTTAAATGCATAAAGTAAATATGTAGAATTACAAAGTAAAATATTAAAGTTATCAAACTATAAATATTTTTAATACAGCTATTATGATATTAAAATGGTAATTTATGATATGATGACACATACCTTATTTATTAACATATTAAGTGATAAAACCTAGCAACAGGTCTCACTCATAATAACCCACATTTCCAATTAATAATGAGTGTTAATGATGTTTTGAGATAATTGCAACAACTCTAAAGTAACATTGAAATATATTTTCTCTTGGTAATGAAACCGCAGATACTACTACTACTACTATAGTTTGCCTTCTACATTTATATATTATCTGATAGAAATGCTAAATTTCAGTTAGAAGTTAATGATTAATGCAATAATGACTTTTTTTTTTTTCTGATTTCTGAGTTGGGACATTCCCTGAATTCTTTTTTCAGGCCCCAGTTAACTCCTGATCCATAATTTTCACTTTAGAAAGCATTCTAAATTTTTTGAGCTGAGCAAATATAGTTCTTCATGACTTACTCTCCTCTACCTTCTTAGCCTAATCTCTACTTGTCCACCAGTAACACATTGCTAGTCAGACCATTTCTCTTTTTCATACCTCTGTATCCTTACAACTCCCCTTCCCTGGAATAACCTTCAAACATATCCAATTTTTTAAAATCTATTTTCTTTCTCTTTTAACCTAGATTTGGAGAAGGTTCTCCTTGTCCTTCCTTATTCCAAGATCTGATTTTTATTCCCATATTGTATTAACATTGGCTGTTCGGCTGTCAGTTTACTTATAAGATGGGTCCCTAAGAGTAGGCATTGTGTTATGTTCATCTTTGAAGATGTAATGAAAGAGTGAAAGTGTGTCTGTTGCTAATCCTAACATCTTCCACCAGTAAATCTGTTCTCTTCACTGTCTGCTTTCTTGCAAATTTTTTTTTTTTTTTTTTTTTTTTGAGACGGAGTGTGGCTCTGTCGCGCAGGCTGGAGTGCAGTGGTGCAATCTCGGCTCACTACAAGCTCCGCCTCCTGGGTTCACGCCATTCTTCTGCCTCAGCCCCTGAGTAGCTGGGACTACAGGCACCCGCCACCACACCCGGCTAATTTTTTGTATTTTTAGTAGAGACGGGATTTCACCCTGTTAGCTGGGATGGTCTCAATCTCCTGACCTCGTGATCCACCCGCCTCGGCCTCCCAAAGTGCCGGGATTACAGACGTGGGCCACTGCGCCTGGCCTCTTGCAAATCTTACTGTGCTTATTATCACAGCCACTTTCAGACTAGTTATTGTTGAATTTCGTTTAGGTTAATTTTGTCTCCCTTCTTCTTACCCTTACATCCCAAGCCACCTATCCACCACCTACCCACTTCTCCTCTGGCAAACAGGGTAAGAATCCTGTTTCACAGTGTGGCAGTAATTGCAACCTTGGCTGCACATTAGTAAACACCTAAGGATTGTGTAAATAATATCTGTGTTTAGGCTCTACCTCTAAACTGATGTGAGGACTAAATAGTGGTACTTTTTGAAACTCTCCCAGGTGATTGTAATGTGCATGAGGGTTGTGAAATGCTGGGGTATTAACTATCCTTGCTGGTCTTGGAAATACCAGTCCTATATGTGGTACTAAATAATTATTTTCTAAATAATAACCAGAACTTATATGAATATGCACACTTATAAGAATAATTTTTCCATACAACTTTGAAATAGATAAGAATCTGTAATTTAATAAACTTATTGTATTGTATTAGTGTTTTTAGATAATGGCTTTGCTTTCTAAATTATTTAACTCACTGCATTTCCCAGACCATGTGATCATACTCTTTCCCAATGAACTTCTGCTCTGTTGCACGTATATAACATTCATTAAAGACCCTAAACCCTCACTATAAATTGCAAAACTCAGTGCTGATGCTAAAGCATACTCTTCACTCTAAAACTTCCAATTTAGTAACTCCATTTGCGTTATCTAATGTGAGAATCTCCCACCTCCTCAAAGAGAATAGTTTTTGCATTTTACTCTATGTAAAAGTCTCTAAAATCCCCAGATAATGTAAGACTTCTTAGATGAGAATTTTGATTTCAATCAAATTCTGATTTAACGTTTTAAGAAATTGAAAAAAAACGTGTTTTTGTTTTATTTATTTATTTATTTATTTTGCTTTCTCTAGTGTCCTTTAGTGCAAAAAGACCTTGGGCTGAACTAAAGAAAACTATTGTCTAAGTAAAAAATTAAAGCATCTGAGACTTTCTGATCATAATGTGACAATATCAGGATCTTGTATGGATAGAATACTTGGAAAGGGAAAAACAAAACATCCTCGTAGACATTTTTCGCTTGATTGACCATAGATTCAACCCACATCTGCATTTGTCTCTTAAAAAAAAGTGTTTATAAGCTTCAAAGTCTCTAAATTGGGATGGGGCTCTAACCATTGGCATTCATGGCTATTCATGTTTAAATTGCCGTTCATTTTTCTTTTATTAAAAGAGTCCTCATTAAGTTTTCTTTCACTTACTATTCAATTATTAAATATAGTTTTATATTGAGGAAGAACATCTAATCTATTAATAGATAATTTGAAAATAAATGTATATGTTTCTTCCCACACCCATTCCCTGCAATTTATTTATAACTTGTAATTTCAAGATGCGACCAGAAGAGATAATGATATTTTATTATGTTATGACTAGATTTTCTGGTTAGGAGCTTTCATTAAGCAGAATTAAATTTTATTTCTACATAATGCATAGTTATTTAAACTTCAGTTGCTGGTAAAATTTAATTGAACTTAAGTCTAAGAAGACTTAAATAGATTCAGTAAAATTGTTAAGTTTTAAATAGCTAAAAAAGCAATTCATAGAAAATTGAATATTTTAGCTATATCAAAAATATATTTAGGGAAATCCAAAAACAAAAATAATAACTACAAAATATCTTGCTATTTTGTTACAGCCAACCCACTATTTACACAACTATTCTGTTAGCTGTAATTCAAACAATTCTTTGAAGAAAAAAAAAGTATAGAAAAAACATTCCCTGTGACTTTAAAACATCTTAATACTAATAGCGTTTTATTTATTTATTTATTTTAGACAGAGTCTCACTCTGTCACCCAGGCTGGAGTACAGTGGCACGAACTCGGCTCACTGCACCCTCTGCCTCTAGGGTTCAATTGATTCTCCTGCCTTGGCCCCTACAAGTGTGTGCCACCACACCCAGCTAATTTTGTTTTGTAATTTTGGTGGAGACAGTTTCACCATGTTGGCCAGGCTGGTCTCGAACTCCTGACCTCAGGTAATCTACCTGCCTAGGTCTCTCAAAGTGCTAGGATTACAGGCGTGAGCCACTGTGCCCAGCCTATAATGGCATTTTAAAATAGTGGTTGTGATAATATTGTTTAGTCAGCTAAAATTAGTATTAACCAAAAATAAAATTCCTCTGAATATTATGCATGGTAAGATTTTCCACATTGCACCTGAAAGTGTTGAAAGCATTTTTCTGCCATTTTCTCTTTTCTATGAGAAAAACTTTTTTAGTTATTCATATTCATCATATTTATTTATATTTACCAAAAAGAAGCACTAGATCTTATGTATTTGTGTTTCCTTATTGTGTTTAACAATTGAAGCCAACATGTTAATTTTAGTTTTCATTTTAACTTATTTTAATTCAATTATATTAGAGGACTTTTTGAAGAGAGCAGAGACCAGAGTGTAACAGCAAAGAACACGGATTCTATAGCCACATTGTTAGGGCTCCCATCTGAACACTACCTCTTATTAAATGAGAGATTCCAGGCAAATTAGTCCACAGCTCTGTTTCTCAGTTCTCTTAACTGTAAGAACAGATATCCATAGTATCTTTCTCTTAGCTTTTGTGAGAAGATTAGGTGAGTTATTAAGTGCCCAGAACAGTGCCTGGAACATAGTAAGCACCGCCTTAATATTTACTATCTTCATTGTTATAACTGAAGCTAGATGATTCTAATGTGCTACCATAGAAAGTGAGGGATAGAAGTATTACATATTTTTAGGTGTTACTTAACTAAGTTCTAGAAACATATATGGGGATATGAAGTAAGCAAAAATGAATAAAACAGTGCCTACCCTAAAATATTTATAATACAGTAGACAAGATAGATAGATATACATGTGCCATAGGTGGCACAATTTGAATAGACAATAAAGGTTCAAATAAAATGCTAAGAAAGTTTCGGAGGAGTGGTTCCTGGAGGAGATATACTTTAAATTGGGCTTTGAATAATAGAATTTTGATTGAGAGTGAGAACAGAGAAAGCAGGGGTAGGAAGGACAGAAATTTTAGAGCAGTATAGAATAATGACTGATGTTTTCGGCTGAAGTAAATAGATGGGTTGGCGACATGTGGGTGGGAAGAGGGTATGCAGTAAGGGTTAAGGATGGAAACCACAGACTAGTTCGTGAAGAATACTGACTGCAATGCTGTTGAAACGGAATCTTCTAGGCAATGCAGGAGTCACTGGTGGATTCTCAATATGGGCATAAATAATTAGAATTGTAGTTTAGTGATTACTTTGGCAGCAGCATGATGAATAAATGGATGGAAAATGAGAATAGAGCCATGAGGCCAGTAAGTAGCAGTTAGAATTTAAAACCAGGTACATCTGTATTAGAAGCCATCACTGAGAACCAGGTTATTGCTTTGAGATCAACTTCCTGTCTCCCATATTGGTCTTCAGTGTGCCATTAGTTTTGCTAGTTCTGCTTTTGTTATGAGGTGTTTCTTTCTCCTTGGCTCTTATTCCCTTTGCATGGCTGCATTTTACCCTAGTAATAGTTATGAACTAGTAGAACAATTAGTTGCTAGTGACAGTAGTAGAGAAGAACCACCGACTGGTATTAGATGTAACTGTACACCCTTTGTTTACTTATAATAAGGGCTGAGAGCCCCAGAAGACGCCAGTATTCAACCACAGGTAACAGATTATCCTGTCTATGTTCTGTATGAATAGCCCCTTGCAATCTGTACACATTTGAAAATTACTAAGACTTCCTAAAAAATAAGTCAAAATTATTCTCTGGAAGATATGAATACTTGTTTAATGTATAAAATTTTATTTTCTTTTTTTCATTTCATGAAAAAATAAAAAATGAAAATGTTTATATTTAAGCCATATTTTGGGGAACTCATAGAATATTTCATATTTGGTAATAAACTTTCAGTTTCAGAAACTTTGATCTATAGTTTTTATCTTTCTAAATTTCAGCTTGTTTTTCTAAAATTATTCTCACTACTATAATTTAAAGCTAAAATTGGGCCCGGCACGGTGGCTCACGCCTGTAATTCCACCACTTTGGGGGACCAAGGCGGGCAGATCACCTGAGGTCAGGAGTTCAAGACCAGCCTTGCCAACATGGAGAAACCCTATCTCTACTAAAAATACAAAAAAATTAGCAGGGCGTGGTGGCAGGTGCCTGTAATCCCAGCTAGTTGGGAGGCTGAGGCAGGAGAATCACTTGAACCTGGGAGGTGGAGGTTGCAGTGAGCCGAGATTGTGCCATTGCACTCCAGCCTGAGCAATAAGAGTGAAACTCCGTCTCAAAAAAAAAAAGCCAAAATTACATTACTTAATTTGTATATCTATATATATTATAGTTCTGTTAGATAATTCTGTTTATAAAAATATTTATGCCTTTCTCATTTATTCAACTTTATTGTATCAAAGGTGTAAAAAGTTCTTGTATTTTAGAATTTAATTTTTTATCGAGTAGAAGAAAGGCATTTATGTACAATTTGTACATAAATGTCAGATGGCATTTCACATTAATTATACCAATTGAGTAAATTTTATCCATACAAAAGGCCATGCATCAGGCTACAAATGTTTGTGTGTAGTTATCATATTTTTCTAGTTCAAATGCTTAGGAGAATAAGCTTTTTAAAATACAAATTTTGTCTATAGTTCAAAATATTATAATTCTGGCACATAAACTGCTTGAGTAATGACAGTTATTATAATTAAGTATAAAGGCATAAACATAATGACAGATAATGTGTGTCAGGTTAAAGATTATCATTTATAAACCATTAAGACTATTTTAATGTGTTCTATTCAAAATATATTTTCTTGTTTTTAATAATATTTATAGGATCTATAATTAAGATGTACATTGATGGACACTGGTGCCACACATAGATGTAAATACAGAAAGAAAACCCCAAATATAGGCAAACACTTTTCATTAGAATAATAGAAATAGGAAGAGAATATAAGATAAAATTATAGAGGCTTAGTCACTTAAAATATATTCTATGAAGATAGACTTATATTAACTGAATTGTTTTATTTACTCTTTAAATAAAAAGATAATCTAATTTTTAGACAATTAAAAAATTATTTCATATTCGTTAGTTTGTTTGCACTCTCCTAAATCTCTGAGTGTCATAACGTCTTGTAACAATAAGCTGTTAGATCCTTAATCCTGGTATAATTATGTGACTCAGTAGGGAGTCCAGAAAAAAATTACCTTGTAATTTAATTTATACTTTATTTTATTTTTCTCCGTTGAAATATGCAAGAATAGTAAATGGCTTGTTAATGTGCAGCGGAATGATTAAATTATATTGTAGGGGTATTGTGATGAAATGATGTGTATTTAACCTTTTGCTTTTGTATCTTTTTTGGTACAGAGATTTTGGAAATCACATTATACCCTGTTGTTTAACTGCCTTTAAAAATGTTTTGTGCAGAACAAATAGCTTAATTTTATGGGGTTTTGTTGATGCTAAACTCTGGAGCAGAACCAAAAGGCATCCTGACTGCCAAAACAAATGAAGGAAATCATTTCCCTTACTAGCTTGGCAGAACATTTTTACGTGATGGCTTTAAAAATAACTTTCCATTTCCAGTGAGGTCTTTCTTTGCCATATATTGTCACCTGAGTTAACGTTTGGTTGCAGTCCTGAGCCTATTAAACTGTTTTAAAATACCAAACAAACCAAAATAACAAGAAAAAAACTTTGGTAAACCTATATTTCTGTTATTCCTTTGGAGGGTCCCCATGTGTTGAACTTTACTGTAGAGAGTGTTCATACTTTTCTGTCTTTCTTCCATCTACTCAAGAGTGATCTGTTAAACATCCATCTACCTTTCCTCAGAAATCCTACAAGTCTTTCAGAGCCGGGGTTATTGCTAAAATCCTACAGTATTTCCTTCCGATTAAACTGGAAAATTTTACTTGTTTTATTCATTTAACATGTTACAGCATTTTCATGTCAATGAACCTGATTTCTCAAACTTTACTGTAATCTCCTTTGACAGACTGACTTCACTAAGAATGTGATAAAAGGCATATTGACTGATACAAGCCAATCAATGGACGTTGAAAAGCAGAGACTGTGCTTAAGACACTGTGCCAGATAGGCACTGGTAGTGAGACAGAAATAAGTCACTGCCTTGCCCTCTGTAATTTATAGTCTAATAAGAGAGCTAAAATTAAGTACACAAATCATCGCTATCCTAGATAGAGAAAATAAGAACACTATGAGGGATCAAAGGAGTGAGAAATACTGTCCGTTGAAAAAATATCAGCAAAGATTTTGTTGTGAAACTCTTTGGGAAATGCACCTGAAAGAATAGTTTTGTTATTCTTACAGCAATTGCCATTATTAGTTTTGCTGCTAGGAACAATGCATGTTCTGGCAATCCTAGAAAAGCCATTATTGTCTTCACCATCACATAATATCTTATCTTTGTGACAAAAACTGTGAAGGGTCTGAGATTTTATCTTGCTCTCAAGACAGGTTAGCCTGTCACAGTTACATAGATGCTGTCAGAAAACATTAGACTCTTGGGTCAGAGACGAAAGACTATTACTCATGGCACACAGCAGGCAGCAAGAGCTTCTTGTTTCCATCAGTGTCCTTGCCCCTCCGGTCCTGCAGGGGGTGATGCGTGGCAGCCTAGGTAGACACCGCACTCAGTGGATACGTGTCACACCTGAGGGACTCCAAGCTTAGGAAACTCCCAATCTTATAAGGGGGCTGTTAGCAAAACTGTCTAAACTTTGTCTAGGGGGAGATCGAATCTTTACTATCCTGGTCAGGAAACAAATCTTCCATTTGCCCTGGAGGGAGATTCTGTCTCTATCTTTTCAGGCTATTTGAAAAGATATTCTGGAACAAAAGCCGTCAAAAGATGTATAAAAACGCTATGGAGAATTAACCCCTAAACAGTGTGTTTAACTGGAAATGATCATTTTGAAGCCAGTATTTAGGGGAATACAGAATAATATGCAGTAAAACTAAAGTTTAAAGAAGCCTTCATTTTACATAATAATGAAAAATGAGTAAGAAGGGATGCTAATATTGTAAAAAGAAGCCCAGCCTATATCTCGTAAGTTATGTAATAACCGTAATGCATTATTCTGAATTATGGATGAGGGATTATCTATTCTAGTCATATTGATAAGGGAATTAGTCATGAAAATCTTTCCTGATAGATGATCCTAAATGAATTTGTATTTTATTATATATATATAATAAATATGTATACATATTTGTATAGTCTATATATACATGCACATGCTCTAGCATATACATTTGAATAATTTATACATCCACAGTAAAATAATAATTCCCAAATCAAATTGAATGTCAAATTAGAATGGGTCTTACAAATTATTTCTTAAAATCTATCTGTCAGTTTGAGAATGATTTTCCAAAATAATAGATCAGGTAAAGCTTATAAACTCTGCAGCTTCACTTCTAGGATTCGACCTATAGTGGGGTCAGTGACTCCTCTCAGGTGTATGCAAAGCTGCATTGTAACCAGATATTGACTGATATCTTTCCTAAATCATGCATGACCCACTGATGGATTCATTGCTAACATCAACATCTTTTCTAGGATTTTATGTGTGTGCTTTTTGCTTTAGGGTTGGTTTTCTTTTATATCACCATTTTTCTCTGTTTATCTTTTCTTGTGTTGCAACATCAAAAACAAAACTGTGTTTTCACTTAAAGTTTATATGCCAAAACTGTGTTTTCCTTTAAAAGTTTATACATTGCACTATGAAAATTAAAGAACACATGATGCTGAATATTGTTAGTAAAAAACTGCTTGGGGCTCATTGCACCAATGAATAACAACATCGAAGTAATATTTTATACCTATAATTCAAAACATAGAGTGCTTGTTTCTATGATAATAAATTAAATCAGATAGCATTTATCACTATAAAATGCTACTATCATCACTTTGATAAATTCCCATTATTACTCATGTATCAGGAAATGGATTTGGCTACATAATGTATAAGTTAAGTGACAAGCCTCTTTCACTTCTGGGATTTACATGCCTTATCTGATATTTTATGGGGCATGGCTTTAAGAAAAAGAAAAAGCATACGTCTTATTTTTCTTTTTTTTTTTTTTTTTTTTTAATTGAGATAGAGTCTCACTCTGTTGCCCAGGCTGGAGTGTAGTGGCAGGATCCTGGCTCACTGCAAGCTTCATCTCCCAGGTTCAAGCAATTCTCCTGCCTCACCCTTGGAGCAGCTGGGACTACAGGTGCACACCACCACGCCTGGCTAGTTTTGTATTTTTCATAGAGACAAGATTTCACCATGTTTGCCAGGCTGGTCTCAAACTCCTGACCTCAGGTGGTCCACCCGCCTCGGCCTCCCAAAGTGCTGGGATTACAGGCATGAGCCACCTCACCTGTCCTAAAAAAGCTGAATCTTGAACATATTTAGGATTCAAACAAATATGAGATTTTAGAAACTAAAATACCTATAGGAATCATTCGTGTAAAAGAAAAGTCTGAAACAAATCAGAATATCTGTTCCATTTCAACTCCAGAGGAATATTTCCGCACAGGAATGCATGCCTAGTGTTGCATTTCATCATATTTTTAGGGAAATCAGAAATATGGATTTTTATGCAAGATTTTTAAATTTTTAAATGCTGGCTCCTAGCCTAAAAATAATTACAATTTGCCACTAAATAAAAAATACCGCCAATCAGCAACATCTAATATTTTGTTTGATAATCAGAATATCTTTCCAGGCTGACAGAGCATAAGCTGGGATGGTGATGGATAGAGGAAGGGGAGGCAGAAGATAATAGAGACTTTAAGGGAACAAACAAACTGCTGTAGACAGGAGAAGAGTCTGTCTTACTGTCACAGGCCTAGCAATACAGTCTAACAACAGTACACATTGACACTGGACTGGAAAAGGCTGTACCTGAATCCTTCTTAACTAAGGTCTCTGAGGACTCTTAAGCATCCTGAGGAGAAAGAAGCTGTTTGTAAAAATGTTAATGATATCTTGAGAGGCCCATGCTACTTGGCTGTGTTATTTTCACTCCTTCATCAAAATGTTAACTTGACAATGAAAAGTGACTTCCTACAAAAGGGAATCAGAAAAATTCTTAGGTAGCTTGTGGTATTAGTCCGTTTTCATACTGCTATAAACAACTACCAAGATTGGATAATTTTTAAAGGAAAGAGGTTTAATTGACTCACAGTTCAGCATTGCCAGGGAGGCCTCAGGAAACTTGCAATCATGGTGGAAGCTGAAGGGGAAACAAAGCACCTTTTTCACAAGGTAGCAGGAAGGAGCAGTGCCAAGCCAAGGGGGAACAGCCCCTTATGAAACTATCAGATCTTGTGAGAACTCACTCACTATCACGAGAACAGCATGGGGGAAACGGCCTCCATGATTCAATTACCTCCACCTGGTTTCTCCCTTGAAAAATGGGGATTATGGGAATTACAATTCAAGATGAGATTTGAGTGGGGACACATAGCCTAACCATATCATCTGGCTTCAATGGAGGCAATTAAGTAAAAACTGTAGAGTGTTTCGGTGAGAAACACCATCCCTCCAAGATAAATCACCTGACCAGCCAAGCCCATGAAATTGATACATCAGATGGTGCTCCCTTGAAATTCCGAGGGAACTTAAGAAAGGAGGTGGACTGAGCTTTTTCATTCTGGTGAGGGAAGGTGATTGATTCAGCAGATGTGGGGATAAACAATATTAAGTAGGAGACTTAAGCTCTTGAGCCACAAAAACATTTGGGAACTGACCAGTTGCTACAGTTAGTTACTCAAATGGATCATATTCCTTTGTTTCCACCCATATATTTATTGCAGTGTGGGTTTCCACAGATAAATATGAATTTTTAAAAGAAACTCCCAAAATAATAGCATCTCTTTGATAAAGTTGTGGTAAGGATTAAATTAGATATTGTATTTAAAGCACCTGACACCAAAATTGGAAAAGTTGATCATGCTAAGTGAGGGTATGGGGGCATGGATTGCTGGTATAGACATGTAGCCATTTCGGAGAGCAGTAATTCTTCTGTTGTGTATATATACCAACGATTTTCTTACACAGATCCAAAAAGGGCATGTACAAAAAGGTAACAATTTGTTTGATGTGATAGAGACTTGGAAGCAATCTGGGTATCCATCGCTGGGAGAGTTGATAAGAAAATAGGAAGACGACAATGAAGATACTGACAGTAGTGATGCAGAAAATGAAATTAATAAACATGATGTCGTGGTCCAGTTGCAGCCTAATGGTGAATGGGATTACAACATAGCAAATACTGTTTGACTTTCAGAAGATGATTGGTTTATTTCACTTTAAAATATTTAGGTATATACTGTAATTTGATTTTTTGCTCCCTTCAAAGATTTCTGTAGAAATACCTTATTTTTTAGTATTCTACAGTTTAATCAAATTACTGAAATGGGATTTTTGATCTGGTATTTATCTGCAAGAGTATACTTCATTCACTAATAATAGACTGGTGCTGTAACTCAAACATCAATTCAGCTCTTCTTTTGGAATGAAAGTATAGCCAAAACAAACAAACAAAAAAATCCTCAGTATAGCTTGCAATTAAGACTTAGATCACAGTATTTAAGTGTTTTGAGTTTTGTACATGAGGTCAGTGCTACAGCCACCTAGCATGAACTAACCCAGCTTCCACCTCCATAAAGTTACCTAGAGTTGTTGAGTTGGAATATGTTCTGGCATTTACCCGACCTGCCAATCATTAGGGAGAGGCAACAAGGTAATTCAGCCTTTCCTCCTATCAGCACGAAGAAACTCAAAGCTGTTTTTTCCCTTTCTGTTCCAAAGCAGTCTTATCCTGACAGGAGCGGTCTATACTAGTGCAGATTTCAACACTTTTTTTTTAATGTTTTAATTACTATAGTGTTATGTAGAGATTTGATTGAGCAGCTAATGTTTCTGAACTTTACTTACTAATTTTCAGTGTCCTTAAGGGTTCTGTAGTGTTGTTATCAAAGCAAAAAGAAAATGCTGCATAAAAATACCAAACTTCAGCAACTGTTAATACTCAGATCATATACCTCTTAACAAATAGCATCTTATGCTAATTAGCCCTGCTAAACTATGTACAGAGAAAACTGTTCAAGTATTGGATTTGAAAGTAAGTGACTTATGTTTAACAGAACTAATGATGTATTGAAACACTGTATTATGAAAAGCTAAATTATACATCATTGTAACTATGTAGAAAATGTAGACTAATGTATAATCAAAATGCTAAGGATTTTTATATGGCCTTGTATGAGGGGAGTTTGAATGTTAATAAACATGTTTTCCACTTTAAGATCCAAAAAAAAAAAAAAAAGAAAATGTGGGGGAACCACACCTTAACATTACAAAACACTCAGAAACAGCAGACTATATGTGTGCATAGGACTATTGAGGGAACTCAAAAACCCAGTTCTTAGTGAAAAAGATAAGAAAGAGATGAGATTTAACTTCAATACTATTTACATAAATTAGAAATATATGCACAAAAAGCAATAGTATACACTTTCTAAGAATACATACAAAGAAGGCACCTGGTAACAGGATACAATAGTTGCCTCCTGGGGGATGGAAATAAAACATGGAATGGGAAGAAGGAAATAAATAATTAACTAAAATAAAAGAGGGACCTTTTAAGAGTGTTGATGAAAATGAATTATGAATTGAGTAATATAACAAACTCAAACCTCTGCACGTAAGTTGATAAAGCAAAAGAAGGAAAAAATAAAATAAAGTTCAAAACACAATGCCTGGCACATAGTACAATCAATTCTATAGATTAAGCAAAAAGGGGACCAAAAGGAGTCTGAGAAAAGAAAAGGAAAGAAAGTGATAAAGTAAAAAATTTCTTCCAAAAATAAATTAAGTTTTGCAATTAGAAATTTGTGGAACCAGTTAACAAGTATAACTGATTTCTGCTTGTGGTCTCAGGAAAGTGCTAGATACTATTAGAGGTGAAAAAGAAAAATTCGATATATTCTTCTTATCAGAGAATAAACCAACAAACTTAAAATATAAGTTTTAAGGAATGTATAAAGGAAGAAACCAACAATCTTAAAATACAATTAAAACTTTTGGATACCCAGTTGGAAACTGGTAGAGTTAAACAATGTTTTTTAAAAAATAATCACTTTGGGAGGCCGAGGCAGGCAGATCACGAGGCCAGGAGATCGAGACCATCCTGGCTAACACTGTGAAACCCTGTCTCTACTAAAAATACAAAAAAATTAGCTGGGTGGGCCATAGTCCCAGCTACTCGGGAGGCTGGGGCAGGAGAATTGCTTGAACCCAGGAGGCGGAGGCTGCAATGAGCCGAGATCACACCGCTGCACTCCAGCCTGGGTGACAGAGCCAGAATCCACCTCAAAAAAATAAAAGATAATAAATAAATAAATAATCAAAGAGACAGTATGGTGTATTACTGGATGATACATTATAAGTCAGCATTTAAAGAGTCATTCATCCTTTAATCATTGTATGCAGCAAACATTAGGAGAGCCCACCACACAGCAGGTTCTGTGTTAAGTAGTAAAAACACAAGAAACTGCAGGAGGTGCCTGAGTTGGAGCACCACTCAGGTTTAACATGGGAAAGGGCTAGTTAAGGCATGGCTGTCCTCTGAAGGGCCAAGACTTGAAGTGAGCTTTCAAAAATATTCAAGAAAAAAAAGGATTTATCATAAAGTAAAAGCCCAGCGATACGTTTCTTAATTATGCAAATAATTCTGTGAATAACACAAAGACCCACTGTATCTTATCAGAAAACAGAAAAAAAAAAAAAAGGAAATGTTTTGAACTGTAGAAGAAAGTGAAATGGTTTTCAGTGTGGTTTATTTTTATATGCAGTTGTCATAATAGTACATTATCTTTTATTTTAGATACACTGGCCGAGTACAGCTCTAAAAATGGAAGAATGCATAATGAAGGGAAAAGATGCGGTAAGTATGATTCATTGTAAATTAAACAAATCATCAATTATATCCCTAGTTAACCACAAAGAACTGAATCACTGAAATTTTTATTTGCTCTTATAAAAGTATGTATGCAATTTGGTTCATGAAGAAAAAATATATAGGCATATAAAACATAATTATGTAAAATTAATTTCAATGTAGAGTTGAAGCAGAGATGCCATTGAGATCTTGGTTTTTATTTTGTTTTCTAATATCTTAATCAACTTGGGTTTATACATTCCTTATACTAATGCTTATTTCTCATGTATTTGGCAGAAAAATAATTGCAGGTAATTTTTTTTTTCTAGGAACAGTTAAGCACATTCTTTGTGAGATTTCACTTTACATTGTTTAGTAAATTAGAAATGAATGAAGAAACAAAAAGTTTGAGAGAGGCAATAAACACATTTTACCTATTCCTAAATATTTTTAGGGTCTCTTCTACTTTAAGAAGCATTATTCTCTCTTTCTGTAGTTTCCCTGCTGGGTGTGAGTGGCAGAATGCTGTGTATCAGCACCCAGACACAGTCCCTAACACACTAAGACATCAGTGATAGAACTTTCACATGCGAGCAGTGGCTAGCTGATTTTGTGACACAAATGCACCCTGGAGGAAGTCCTAGACATCTGCCTGTGAAAGTGAACTTAACCTTTTTTTCAGTTAAAAAAAAAAAAACTATATAAATGACTAACACACATTATACCAACTCCTCATTCTCTGTAGCAGCTGGGTCACAGCCAAGGAGTGAGTCAGCACATTCCTGTTGCCTTAGCCCACAGCATGATGCTGACTAATTGAACATATTCTTAGGCCATGTCAATCTAGCTCAGCTGAGCCAAAATGTGGTCTAATAGGTTCCCTCTCAGATGTGACGGTGTGTCAAGAGAGGAAGTGCAGGTGCTTATGGAAATAAACAACACATATTTTCACCATGCCTGAATGAAAAGATTCTACCAAATATATGGGTCACCCAAAGAATAAAATATCATGTGAATGCAAACTTGAAGAAATAAGTGTACCTGTGTGCTCTGGATAATCAATTCGATAGTGCACTCCTCATTCTAGCCAAGTGATTCCACTGGCCTTTTCCTCCTAATACTGTTATAGGATAGACTTTAAAGTGCTGAAATCACAACAGGTCCTTATAAAACGTGACAGTAACTGATGATTGCATGTATTGATTTCAAGTAATACTGGGCACTAAAAGAGTTTAGTATTTATTTCATAATTTATTTTTAATGGAATGGCAACACCTAATTTGTCAAAAGAATGCTTGCTAAAATTAATTTAGCCAAGTTGATTTTGAAAGCTATTGTAAACTATTTTTTTAAATTCAGTATACTGATCATAAAATTCATTTACTGATGAATATATTAAAACTTTGTTAAGCATGTTATGTATTAGGTGCTGTGCTCAATTAACTGGGAAATGCCGAGATGCGTAAAATAGATTCTGCCCTCAAGAAGCTTAGAGTTGAATACCAGTGTTGACAAACTAGAGCTTCTAGGCCGAAGGTGGCTTTTTGCCTATTTTTGTAAATAAAGTTTTATTTGAACACAGCCCCACACATTTAGTTTTGTATTGTTTATGGCTCCTTTCATGCTATAGCTGCAAAGGTGAATAGTTGCAACAGAGACCAGATAGCTCATCAAACTAAATACATTTACATTCTCGTCCTTTACAGAAAAAGTTTGCTGATCCCCAGTCTACTACTATTTCTTACAGCAATATAGTAATCTTATCATAGTCCTGCAACAAAATGTTATTTTTGTTGGTTAGTTTTCCATATTTACTTAACAATTCTCTCTGAAGGTGCTTTATGTGAATTTGTGAGTGTGAGAATATAAGACTTACTTTCCAAAACATTAAAATTCTGTTTGCCCTAAAGACTACATATTTTGAGAGGCTGAGGCAGGCAGATCGCTTGAGCCCAGGAGTTTGAGACTAGCCTGGGCAACATGGGGAAACCCCATTTCTGCAAAAGATACAAAAAGATTAGCTGGGCATGGTGGCACATGCCTGTAGTTGCAGCTACTCCAGAGGCTGAGGTGGGAGGATCACTTGAGCCTGGGAATGCGAGGCTGCAGTGAGCTGAAATTACACCACTGTGTTCCAGCCTGGGCAACAGAGTGAGACCCTGTCTTGGGAAAAAAAAAAAAAAAAAAAAAAGACTGCATATTTCCATATGAATAACTATGCTTTTTCAAATTTTTGGTTTTAATGACTTTATGCTGATTCATTGTTTATACTGTACTTAAAAAACTAACAGCATTGGGAATAACTTAATTACTTAGTGGAACATATTGTCATGAGAATTTTTACACTTGAAGAAATTTCTGAATAGTGCTTTTTTTATTCCTCAGTTGTAAACTAGAATACATGAAAAATGATGCAGTCTCATTATAAAATGTAATTTACACATCACTGCTAACCAAAATGTGTTTCAATCACCCCAGTTTCTTCTCCAAGTTCTTGTCCTCTTTTCTTCTACCCCTCTTGCCTCCTTCACCCAACAGAGATTTACGGTAAAACATGAGCTTTCTAGGGCTAGGAAAAACAAAAATCAAAAAGGACGAAACATGTTTATTATACTGATAGATTCCTTCCCTTTTTTTCCTGCTTTAGGGTGAATGTGCAAATTATGTTCGGGTTTTGCATCACTATAACAGGACACACCTTCTGACCTGTGGTACTGGAGCTTTTGATCCAGTTTGTGCCTTCATCAGAGTTGGATATCATTTGGAGGTAAGATGTTTCATTCATTGCTGTCAATAAAAACAATGCTTAAAACAACCTTGTTCTCAAAGAAAGACTACAGCATTTCTTCCCAAGAAAGATAAAAGCATTTGCGATGTACTGAATCAGTTTGCTTGAGACAGAGAAATTATCTTTCTGGGCCTTTAAAATTCTTGTCAAGTACAAAATCTGTGAACCAATTAATTTGCTATGCACTCAATTCACTTAATAATTTTATTTGCTTAATTTGCCCACTAAGAACATCTCTTAACATCAAACTGTGTTCTCTATTGTGTTATATTAATATTTTCATTAATTTAACCACCAAACTGGAATATGTATATAGGTGGGTGTGTATGTGTGTGTACATATATAATTTACATAAATAAAATATAATATTTTACAAGGGACATGCAAAGACTTTTTGATTCTGTAATTACTTTCTCATGGTCAGGTGAGGTAGGGAATGCAGGAGGAGGGAAGATTTCAAACTGAGTTAAGATAAATATTACTTGGTGCCAGTTATACATCTCTTCCGCTAAGACTTTGCCACTAGGTGATACTGCATAATAAAAGCAAATCCCAACTGAATCCTGCCACACATATAATATTTACTAGCAAGCAGGCTCAAAGATCAGTCATATAACCTATTCCTGTAAGCTGGGTGAATCGCAACTCTCGTTACTTTTAAGTATATTTTGAAGCACTCTATATCACAATTTTACCCTGAAGCATATGAAACAATATACTCATGTAGAATCTGTTATTTTTCATCTACATTGGAAGGCAGAGTCCTACATTAAGACAAGGCACAGATAAAATCGAGTTCTAGATATTCTGTTGTTAAGCAGCTAGACTCATGATTCTTATATTCCATTTATGAAAGTGCAGCAGTGGCCATAAAATATTAATATTTTAAGCCACCACATACAAAGAACACCATTTCACCACTAAAATATTATTTCTGATATTCCTTATATTAGTTAACCCTCAGGTGCAAATATAATTCGAAGTATTTGAAGTGCTTAATAGCTGCCCCTGGAGAGAGCCCGTGCTTTAACTACTTCAGCTGTTAACTATCTATATAGGGAGATTTTATCATTAGTTTCATGTGCATCCGTGTGAAGAGACCACCAAACAGGCTTTGTGTGAGCAACATGGCTGTTTATTTCACCTGGGTGCAGGCGGGCTGAGTCTGAAAAGAGAGTCAGCGAAGGGAGATAAGGGTGGGGCCGTTTTACAGGATTTGGGTAGGTAAAAGAAAATTACAGTCAAAGGGGGTTTGTTCTCTGGTGGGCAGGAGTGGGGGTCGCAAGGTGCTCAATGGAGGTGTTTTTTGAGCCAGGATGAGCCAGGAGAAGGACTTTCACAAGGTAATGTCATCACTTAAGGCAAAGACCAGCCATTTACACTTCTTTTGTGGCGGAATGTCATCAGTTAAGGTGGGGCAGGGCATATTCACTTCTTTTGATTCTTCAGTTACTTCAGGCCATCTGGGTGTATACGTGCAAGTCACGGGATGCGATGGCTTGGCTTGGGCTCAGAGGCCTGACATTCCTGCCTTCTTATATTAATAAGAAAAATAAAATAGTGTTGAAGTGTTGGGGCGGCGAAAATTTTTGGGGGGTGGTATGGAGAGAGAATGGGCGATGTTTCTCAGGGCTGCTTCAAGCAGGATTAGGGGCGGCGTGGGAACCTAGAGTGGGAGAGATTAAGCTGGAGGCAGGTCTTGTGGTAAGGGGTGATATTGTGGGGTTGTTAGAAGAAACATTTGTCGTATAGAATGATTGGTGATGGCCTGGATACGGTTTTGGATGAATTGAAAAACTAAATGGAATAACAGAAGGAGAAAAACAGGTATAAAAGGTCTAAGAATTGGGACTACTCAGGATATCTGATTAGAGAGTGCCTAAGGAGATTCAGCATAGTCCTGCCAGCAAAGATTATTTATTTACTTCAAGGGTTAAGAGTGGCAGTTTGGGGATAGCACCAGGAGATATCAGCTGTGATGGCTTGGAAAAACAGTGTAAACAAGAGCAGGGCATGTATGAGTAGTTGAGAACGGTGAATAGGAGTATGACTTGACAAGATAGTAGGGATGACAAGTTTTTGGGGGCACAGTCTAAGTTGGTCTGGTGTCTGGAATGAGACTGGGGCCTAATAAAAAGGAGCGTCTATACAGGAGCTTAAATGGGCTGTACCCTGTAGCATTCCGAGGACAGGCCTGAATTCTGAGAAGGGAAAGTGGTAAAAGTATTGTCCAGTCCTTTTTGGTGGCTGAACTTGGTGAGGTGTGTTTTTAAAAGACCTTTAGTCCATTCTACTTTTCTTGAAGACGGAGGACCGTAAGGGATATAAAGGTTTCACTGAATACTAAGAGCCTGAAAAACTGCTTGGCTGATTTGACTAATAAAGGCTCATCTGTTATCAGACTGTATTGAGGTGGGAAGGCTTAACTGAGGAATTATGTCTGACAGAATGGAAGAAATGACTGCCGTGGCCTTCTCAGACCCTGTAGAAAAGGCCTCTACCTATCCAGTGAAAGTATCTACCTAGACTAAGAGGTATTTTAGTTATCTGACTCAGGGCATGTTTAGTAAAGCTAATTTGCCAGTCCTGGGTGGGGCAAATCCTCGAGCTTGATGTGTAGGGAAGGGAGGGGGCCTGAATAATCCCTGAGGAGTAGTGGAATAGCAGATGGAACACTGAGAAGTTATTTCCTTGAGGATAGATTTCCACGATGGAAAGGAAATGAGAGGTTCTAAGAGGCGGGCTAGTGGCTTGTACTATAGTATAACCTGCCTTTGCTGGTGTGTGGTGATTAGGCCTGGTGGAACCGCCATCAATAAATCAAGCATGATCAGGGTGAGGAACAGGAAAGAAGGAAATTTGGGGAAATGGGGTGAATGTCAGGTGGATCAGAGAGATACAGTCATGGGGGTCAGGTGTGGTATCAGGAATAATGTGGGAGGCCGGATTGAAGTCTGGGCCAGCAACAACGGTAATTGTGGGAGACTCAACAAAGAGTGAGTACAGCTGAAGGAGCCGGGGAGCAGAAAGTATATGCGTCAGGTATGAGGAAGAAAATAGATTTTGGAAGTTATGAGAACTGTAGAGAGTGAGTTGAGCATAGTTTGTGATTTTGAGGGCCTCTAAAAGTATTAAAGCAGCGGCAGCCGCTGCACCCAGACATGATGGCTAGGCTAAAACAGTAAGGTCAAGTTGTTTGGACATAAAGGCTACAGGGTGTGGTCCTGGCTCTTGTGTAAGAATTCTGACCGCGCTAACCATGCCTAGGAAGGAAAGGAGTTGTTGTTTTGTAGAAGGTGCTTGGGTTTGAGAGATCAGTCGGACACGATTGCAGGGAGAGCACGTGTGTTTTTATGAGAATTATGCCGAGATAGGTAACAGATGAGGAAGAAATTTGGGCTTGATTGAAGTAACGGGGGCTGTCTGTGAAGCTTTGCGGCAGTACAGCCTAGGTAATTTGCTAAGCTTGATGGGTGTCAGGGTCAGTCCAAGTGAAAGTGAAGAGAGGCTGGGATTAAGGGTGCAAAGGAATAGTAAAGAAAGCATGTTTGAGATCTAGAACAGAATAGTGGGTTGTAGAGGCAGGTATTGAGGATAGGAGAGTATATGGGTTTGGCACCACGGGGTGGACAGGCAAAACAATTTGGTTGATAAGGTGCAGATCCTGAACTAACTTGTAAGGCTTGTCTGGTTTTAGGACAGGTAAAATGGGGGAATTGTAAGGAGAGTTTATAGGCTTTAAAAGGACATGCTGTAGCAGGCGAGTGATAACAGGCTTTAATCTTTTTAAAGCGTGCTGCGGGATGGGATATTGGCGTTGAGTGGGGTAAAGGTGATTAGGTTTTAATGAGATGGTAAGGGGTGCATGGTCGGTCGCCAAGGAGGGAGTAGAGGTATCTTATACTTGTGGGTTAAGGTGGGGAGATACAAGGGGAGGATGTGAAGGAGGCTTTGAACTGGGGGAAAAGGCAGCAATGAGGTGTGGCTGTAGCCCAGGAATAGTCAGGGAAGCAGATAATTTAGTTAAAGTGTCTCAGCCTAATAAGGGAACTGGGCAGGTGGGGGTAACTAAAAAGGAGTGCTTAAAAGAGTATTGTCTAAGTTGGCACCAGAGTTGGGGAGTTTTAAGAAGTTTAGAAGCCTAGCTGTCAATACCCACAACAGTTATGGAGGCAAGGGAAACAGGCCCTTGAAAAGAAGGTAATGTGGAGTGGGTAGCCTCCATATTGATTAAGAAGGGGACGGGCCTACCTTCCACTGTGAGAGTTACCCAAAGCTTGGCGTCCATAATGGTCTAGGGGGCTTCCGAGGTGATCGGGCAGTGTCGGTCTTCAGCCGCTAAGCCGAGAAGATCTGGGAAGGAGTCAGAGAGCCTTGGGCCAGAGTTCCAGGGGCTCTGGGAATGGCTGCCACGTGAGTTGAACAGTCCGATTTTCAGTGGGGTCCCACACAGATGGGACACAGCTTAGGAGGAATCCCGGCCTGCGGGCATTCCTTGGCCCAGTGGCCAGATTTCCGGCACATGTAGCAAGCTCCTGGGGGAGGAGGTTCTGGAGGAACGCCTGGCTGCTGCGGTTCAGGCGTTTGGAAGTTCTTGTGTGTTGGAGATGTGGCTGGGGTTTGTCTCACAGTGGAGGCAAGGAATTGTAACTTTTTTCTATTGTACACCTTGAAGGCGAGGTTAATTAAATCCTGTTGTGGGGTTTGAGGGCCGGAATTTAATTTTTGGAGTTTTATTTAATGTCGGGAGCAGATTGGGTAATAAAATGTATTTTGAGAATAAGACGGCCTTTTGACCTTTTAGGGTCTAGGGCTGTAAAGTGTCTCAGGGTTGCTGCCAAACGAGCCATGAACTGGGCTGGATTTTTATATTTGATGAAAAAGAGCCTAAACGCTATCTGATTTGGGATAAAGAAAAAGAGCATTAACCTTGACTATGCCTTTAGCTCCAGCCACCTTTTTAAGAGTAAATTGTTGGGCAGGATGGGGAGGGATAGTCACTGAACGAAACTGTAAGCCGGACCAGGTGTGAGGAGGGGAGGTGACAAAAAGATTATAGGGTGGAGGAGCAGAGGCTGAGGTAGAATTGGGACCTAGCTCAGCCTGGCGAGGAGCAGCCTGGGGAGGAAGGGAGAGGTCAGATTGGTCTGTAGAAAAGGAAGATTAGAAAGACTCAGCAATGCTTGGGGTTGGTACTGAGGGTACAGGCGGGAGGGAAAGAAGGAAGATTTGGGACGAGTTGCACTGGGCACAGAGACTAGGAAGGGACTGATGTGTAAAAGAATGTCTGGACATCAGGCACCTCAGACCGTTTGCCTATTTTACGACAAGAATTATTTAGATCTGGCAGGATGGAAAAATTCAGAGTGCCATTTTCTGGCTATTTGGAACTACTGTCCAGTTTGTATTGGGGTCAAGCGGCATGGCAGAAGAAAATAAGGCATTTAGGTTTTAGGTCAGGTGTGAGTTGAAGAGCTTTTAAGTTTTTGAGAACACAGGCCAAGGGAGTAGAAGGAGGAATGGAGGGTGGAAGCTTGCCTATAGTGAAGGAAGCAAGCCTAGAGAAAAGAGAGAGTAGAGAAATGGAGGGAATGGGTTTGGGGGTTCTTACCTTCCAGAAAAGTGGGAAAAGGGGTTGGGGCACAGAGATAAGAGGTCGGGGTGCGGAAATAAGGGATGGGGCGCAGAAATAAGGGGCCGGGGCACGGAGATAAGGGGCCGGGGCACAGAGATACAAGAGGTCGGGGCGCAGAAATAAGGGATTGGGGTGCAGAAATAAGGGATTGGGGCGCAGAGATATGAGGTTGGGGTGCTTGCCCCTCCCCCAGAAAAGCAGAGAAGGGGTAGAGACAAGGAGAGAAGGGGTTGGGGTACTTGCCCCTTTCCCAGAAAGGCAGGACTTGCCGCTAAAGGTGAAGGACCAAGGCAGGCATCCCTGCGTGGTCTGACACCTTTGAAACGTGGGTAAATAATCAGAGCGGCGTCCCTGCAATGATTAAACACCAAGGGAAGGCTGCCTTCCCAGTCCATGACCCGTGCCGGAGTTTTGGGTCCACGGATAAAATGTGTCTCCTTTGTCTCTCCCAGAAAATGAAAGGAATTGAAATTAAGGGAGAGATTGAAGAGTGGAAAGGAGAAAGTGGTTGAGGGACAGTGAGAGAGGTTGGAGAAGAGAGTAAGAAGAGGCTGCTTACCTGATTTAAAATTGGTGAGATGTTCCTTGGGCTGGTCAGTCTGAGGACCTGAGGTCGTAGGTGGATCTTTCTCATGGAGCAAAGAACAGGAGGACAGGGAATTGATCTCCCAAGGGAGGTCCCCCGATCTGAATCACGGCACCAAATTTCATGCACGTCCGTGTGAAGAGACCACCAAACAGGCTTTGTGTGAGCAACATGGCTGTTTATTTCACCTGGGTGCAGGCGGGCTGAGTCCGAAAAGAGAGTCAGCGAAGGGAGATAAGGGTGGGGCCGTTTTATAGGATTTGGGTAGGTAAAGGAAAATTCCAGTCAAAAGGGGTTTGTTCTCTGGCGGGCAGGAGTGGGGGTCGCAAGGTGCTCAGTAGGGGTGCTTTTTGAGCCAGGATGAGCCAGGAGAAGGACTTTCACAAGGTAATGTCATCACTTAAGGCAAGGACCAGCCATTTACACTTCTTTTGTGGTGGAATGTCATCAGTTAAGGTGGGGCAGGGCATATTCACTTCTTTTGTGATTCTTCAGTTACTTCAGGCCATCTGGGCGAATACGTGCAAGTCACAGGGGATGCGATGGCTTGGCTTGGGCTCAGAGGCCTGACAATTAGCATATTTTAAATGTTAACCACTCCTAGTTGTAGATTAACTAACATCCAAAATACATCATAGTGTATTTATTGATTCATTTTAAAGAAACAATGCAGAGGATATAAAAGTAGAACTTTAGAGATATGGAAGGCAAATCAGGCCACTGTAAGGTCAGAATATATAGATGTGTACAACAAAGTATACCTATGTATATACGTGTGTATGTATATACACAGTCAGAATATTTACCTCTTGTGATGCAAATCTGCTAGAAACAAATTCAGTTTCATTTATTTGAAAATGCTTTTGTTTCACCTTTATTTTCAAAGGAATTTTCCTTGGTTATAGAATTCTGCGTTAATAGTTGCTTTGTGGTTTTGTTTTGTTTTCTCCTTTCAGTATCTCAAACTGCTTTGTCTTCTAATCTCTTTCTAATGTAAAGCTTTATTCCTATTGATGTTTCCCTTTTAAAATTGCTTTATCTTTTAAGATTTTGTCTTTATCATTGGTTTTCAACAGTTTCAATAGTGTGACTTTATGTTTGCAGGAGTGGGAGGGATCAGTATCTGTATTTCTTAGGATACTGAGATTCTTGGATACTTAACGTTATTCTTTCCATCTAATTTGGTAAATTTTGGTCATTATTTCTTCAAATAATATTTCTTCATTTACCCACTCCTTTCCTTCAGTGTGTGTATATATATATATACACACACACACACACACACATATACATATGTGTATATATATACATATATACATATATATTTATATTTGTTATATATAACTATATATATTATTATATATAACATATAATCATATATATAACAAAAAAGAAAAATATATATATTTATTAGACTTCTAGGCATTGATCTAAGACACACAGTTCATTTTTATTCAACCTTCTTTTCCTCTGCTTTTCAGATTGGAAAAATTCTATTGATTTATATTCAAATTCATGTACTATTTCTCCTGATATCTCCAATGTGCTACTAAGCTCACCCCGTTGGATGTACCATACACAGCATAGTTTACTTGAAAGGTATATTAGCCCATGTAAACTTGCAATGGGCAGTAGTTACCTTTTTCAACTTTCCAGGCACTACCTTTCATTTGCTTGCACATACGGTTCAGATGTTGGACAGGGATGTTGAAGATAATTTATAAGGGTACATACCACAGCTTCTAGATTTCACCACTCATTTTTCTGCTTGAGTTCTAGCCATTCATTTCCACATGAATTAAGGGGTTTCCTCAAGTGAAAAATCTCTTTAGTCTTTGTCTATTCTTAATTGATCTCCAGTGCCTTCTAGAAGTTTTTAAAAATAAATAAATATATATACATATATATAGTTTATCATCATTTTCTTTGAAAGATTTGTCCAATGTAAGATGCATTATCATTAGCAGAACTGGAACTTGGTGTACTTCCACTTCATACACATGATATTGAATAACTTTATATCACATAATTACCTAAATATTAAATATGATTGAAATATTTGAGTCATATTAGAATCTTTAAATATGATTGAATATTATTTCAAATTCCAATAGTTGAATGTTTATATGATTGAAATAATATCCCACATAATTATCTAAATATCAGATATAATATATTTTGAAAAAATTATATATATATATGTCACAAGAGAAACTGGTGACCATCCGATAATAAAAGCAGTATGAGATTTATCCCCAAAACACCATTTAAAGGCTTGATGCAATTTTACATGAGGGAATTAAAAGTTACAAATCATTTAGGCAAGGAGAATACTTTGATTAAGCAGCTAAGAGGCAGGGATTTATGGAATCGGTTTGCAGAAATTTATGTTGGTTAGAGAACAGCAGGAGATAAAACTGGGATAAGTTGGTGGAAGATTTTAATACTACACATTGGCATTTTGTGTTATTGTAAAGACAGCACGGAGACGATGGAGTTTTGAACAGAGTATTTGATTGACAAGACATTCATAATATTTAAGATTGATTCAAGCAGGGAGAGATGAAAAGCAGAGAAATTTAAGGAGGCTATTACATGATCGTTATGAGAGATCATGAAGGTATTTAACACTGTTGTTGCAATAGGAAAGAAAAGGAAGTGTTGAACTCAAGTGAGAAGCTGCTCAGCAGGAGAGTTTCTGTAACTTAGCATTTTGTCTGATGTCAAACATGAAAGGGAATTAAAAAGCAATTCTAATTTTATTTCTTGCTGATTGGGAAGAAATACAAAGTTCTTACAAGCAAGAGAGAGCTATGGAAGCAGGGTAGGTTTTTGTAAGAATCTAACAGATGTCCAGTATTTATTTCTGTTTTAATTTTTTCATTTTCACTTATGGTTATTTGAAAGAATGAATCTGGAGCTAGGAGAGGGTGTTCTCAGAATAGACTGAATTATTAAACCCTGGGGGAGTAGTTAATAGTTTCCTCTGAGAGTCTTCTCTCTCTCTCTCTGTCTGTCTCTGTCATTCTGCTCTCACTTTTCTTTTCTCACTCTCACTTTCCCAAAATAACTTGAAAAGTGCCATTATTTAGGTGGTGGTAGAATGTCTAGGGAGTGTCATGAGCACTCAGAGAAAAATTGGATATAAGGCAAATCAGGTTAGTGCAAAATCCGAATTACATTTGAAAAAGAAAAGTTTTAAAATGATAGTTAATAGTATCAATGGTACAGTTTTAGTAAGGGGATAAGTAATTAGAAAGGAGATTACTGAATAGTGACATAATAAATGTAATAATATCATTAATTTAATCAAGAAATAGAGTCGTGGCTAGGCACAGTGGCGCTTGCCTGTAATCCCAGCACTTTGGGAGGCCAAGGCTGACAGATCACCTGAGGTCAGGAGTTCAAGACCAGCCTGGCCAACATGGTGAAACCCTATCTCTACTAAAAATATAAAAATTAGCCAGGCATGGTGGCCGGCATCTGTAATCCTGACTACTCAGGAGGCTGAGGCAGGAGAATCGCTTGACCCCAGGAGGTGGAGGTTGCAGTGAGCCAAAATCTCACTATTGCACTCCGGCCTGGGCAACAAGAATGAGACTCCAACTCAAAAATAATAAATAAATAAATAAATAAATAAATAAAATAGAGTCGTTAAAGAAATATGGAGAAAAACATAAAAAGTCTAAGAATGCTGAAAGAAGATTTTTCTTAGAATAGCAGGTAGAGAAAACTTAAATTATTTATTTTTTGCTACAGGCGTTGTTGATGAGGTTTTGATTTTGCATCCTACTTAATCCCTCTGTTTTTATGGGGGGATTTCATGGAGAATAAAATGAGTGTCCCTGCTGCTATTCTCTCAAAAGTCTCAGAGCACTTTTTAAACAGTAACAAGTGATACAAATATAAACTACTACAAGTTTATGTCTACCTCTGATTTTACTCACATCTCAAAGAAAATGGAAATTATGTGTTGAATGTAGATGCTCAGACAATAAGAAACAGAGTTTTAGGTATAAAGCACATATTTCTAGAGAATTGGCAAAGACCTTGAACTCTTGCAAAATTAAAATGGTTTTCATTACTTAACAGCCAACATTTCTCTTAAGAATGAGACGACTTTAGCACAAGAATATTAGCACGTTACTATTTGTATTTTCTTTCTTGCAAACAAATTACCAAAAATGTAGCTGATTAAAACACAGCTTCACACACTTATTATCTCACAGTTTCTGTGGGACGTGAGAGTCCAGGCACTGTTTAGTTGGCTCCTCTGCTAAAGGTCTCCCAAGGCTGAAATCAAGGTGTTGCAATCTTTCTGGAGCTCAGGGTCATATTCCGGGTTCATGAGGTTATTGGCAGAATTCACTTCCTTGCAGTTGTAAGACCAAGGTCCTCATTTTCTAGATGGCTATCAGCCAGGGGCTGCTGTCAACTCCTAGGGGTCACATGCAGTTCCTTGCCATGCGGCCCTGTCATAACATGGCTGCATACTTCTTCTAGACCAGCAGGCAAATCTTTCTGTTCAGTTTACTAAGAGGGAATCATACAGCACAGCTTCATCATGACAATGACTATCCCATCACGTTTGCCATATAAAGTAGTATAAGGAGTGATTTCTTACCGTATTCGCAGGTGTGCCTACACCAGAGGAAGGGGATCGTGTCGTACAGCTATATTTGAGAGTGGGATTCTTGAACATCATAAGCATTCTACCCACCACAGTATTCTTTCCATATCTTACATGTTAAAGAAAGGTTGCATTAATACAGGTATTTTTAGAAAATGTTTCTGGGAGAGGCAAGGCATAGGCCCAGAATGAAAGATGAGAAATGAAGCTGTTCTTTTTTAGAACTTTGTAGTGCTCCTCTTAAAAGAAAACTGCATTTCTCCTTGCAAAGATTAAGGGATGAATGTGTGGGCCATCTGCAGAATTTTTCTGCTCAAACCTCGGAAAATTTGATTGTCCTTGAGGGCATAAGCATTTGAATATAGACTGCTGCCATATTTTAACAGGGTACAGTATATTTTCTCAGTCTATATTTATTTAGAGCATATTTATATTAAGTTTTAAGTATGCAGGCTAAATTAGTCATGCAAATATATTTTGCCTCAAAGATAATCAACAATGTACTCTGTGATTTTCAGTGTATGGTTTTGATAAAAGTTTCCTCTAGTGCAGAAAGTAGCAGCACAGCTATTTGGATAGTATTGGCTTCAAAATCATAAGGGTTATACATATACCTCTGAGAGTACAAATCTCTCTGAAAATATGTAGATACTTTACACAAATAATGTTTTTAAAAGGTAGCCCACAGTTAAATGTTATAGACTGGAAATGATGTCTTCCAGTTGCTTGTATTCTGTAGTTAAATATTTTGTAATGTGACAGCAGGAGATTACTATTTAGACATAATGTTCTTGCCTTTTAAAGTCATATGTGTTACACGTTATCTCATCGATCCCTGAGAGCTTGAACACCATATTTTAAGTAAATATTGAAAATATATTTTTAGGCCATGATTATTATTCCAAATAAAGCATACATGCTACAAATACATGAATTTTAAAATCAGATGTTTTCCTCAAAAGTATTTTATAAATATTTGTTTCTTAACTTTTTTTTCTGCTTATAGTACAAAGTAAACTCATTGGGATATTCAACAAAACTTGTAAGTTTTTGAGGTTCAAAAAGTCACCCATTATGTGACTGAAATGTGCCTTTTCTCTTTCACAACTGAGATCATTATAGCCATGCATTTAATATTCTTTGTCCTTTCACAAATAAATATGCATATCTTAATTTTACAAACCACTTTCTTTAATATCAACTCTTCCTGCACCCAATTCTAAACCCCTGAAATTCTGAAGATTTCCAAATCTGTTATTTTAAAGTTTCTGTTATTTATTATTGCTTGTTTATCAAATATATATACACACATTATATATATATATATATATATATATTTTTTTTTTTTTTTTGAGTCGGAGTCTTGCTCTGTCGCCCACGCTGGAGTGCAGTGGCGCCATCTCGGCTCACTGCAAGCTCCGCCTCCCGGGTTCACGCAATTCTCCTGCCTCAGCCTCCCGAGTAGCTGGGACTACAAGAGCCCGCCACCACGCCAGGCTAATTTTTTGTATTTTTAGTAGAGACGGGTTTTCACCGTGTTAGCCAGGATGGTCTCCATCTCCTGACCTCGTGATCCACCCGCCTCGGCCTCCCAAAGTGCTGGGATTACAGGCTTGAACCATCACGCCCGGCCCAAAATTATCTTTAATAGTAGGTAAAAATAAAAATATTAAAGATAACCATTTTAAAATAATTTGTAAAAATCTAGAGTGGGTAATAGCCAATTTAATAGAATAAATATATGAATATTTACATTTTTATAACATTATACTTTCAGATAATTTTTATATATTAAACTAGACTTTAGTTAACAAAAATGTCCAGATTATAATTTGTACCAAGATACTTTTATAAACTTTTTGGTCACATGATGTGAAGAATGACTGGCCTGCAATTTCTTGATCCATTTATGTGAAAATAATATATAGAAATGTTTTACTGATTTAAAAATTATGGTAATTTTTAATATTTTCATTTCAAGTAAGTGGTTAGAAGGTAATGAGTATTCCCCTATGAAGTCAGAATATGTTTTGTTTTGGTCTCAGTCTATGAGTTTTTCATTCTGCAGACTAATTACTGTATATGGTTTTGTTTGTTTCTTTTGTTTTGTCTTTTGCTAGAAATGTAATGGAGATTACGGGCCATAAAAATAGAGATTACCTGACAATGGTACTTTTTTTTTTTTTTTCAGTAGGGAGAATGGGATTATTTTACGCATTGGAGTTGATATTGAAAGTTAAATGCGAAACAGATAATTATTTACACTAACATAGTAGCTACCCAATAAATATCCAGCTCATGCCTGTAATCCCAGCACTTTGGGAAGTCAAGGTGGGCAGATCACAGGAGGTCAGGAGTTCAAGACCAGCCTCGCCAATGTGGTGAAACCCCGTCTCTACTAGGAATACAAAAAAATTAGCCAGGCGTGGTGGTGGGCCCCTGTAATCCCAGCTACTCTGGAGGCTGAGACAGGAGAATTGCTTGAACCTGGGAGGCAGAGGTTACAGTGAGCCGAGATTGCGCCACTGCATTCTAGCCTGGGTTGCAGAGTAAGACTCCATCTCAAATTATATATATATATGATATAAATTAGCATTAGAAGAATTCAATGGAAACCAATACTTTAAAAGAAATTATGCATTTTATCCATTGGAGTATGCCATTTTCTACATTGTTTCTTCTGCTTTCTTTACTGAAATCAAAAGATACTTTTCAGTGCAGCTAATAGAAAAGGCAGTGCTGTGTTCCCCACGGCATTAAAAGGTGAGCCTGACACTGTCTCCAGAAGCTTGCAGTCTATTATTTTTGTGATTTTAAAACATCCAAGGTTATTTAAAAATGTTCTAGAATAGAGGGATTGTTCCTTCTGGCCTTCCTCTCCTGTCAATCTTATTAGTGAAAGCTAGTTAAATGATTTTCTGATGGGAAGGAAAAGAGGATTCCTTGTGCTAGTTTTTGTCTGAAAATGATTATAAGAAAGCTATTAGAAAGGTAGACTTCTTGACAAATGTCACTTATGGATCACTCTTTTGCATCCTTCCTGTGTGTGAGGCAGTTAGTAAGAAACCTCACTCTCTTGCACCTTCACTCTGCTCACCTTGCCTGTGAGCAAAGAGAAGGCCCTGAGAGAAACAGCGTGATGCTTATGTTGCTGAGCAGCCCTGCAGGTGGCCTCTAGGGAATGAGGGAGCGGGAGAGGCATATGTTGAACCAGAACTCTGTAACTAATTAAAGAACTAGGAGGCTTAATTCACAGGGAGCCACTATGAGGGCTTTTTTTTCCCCCACTTGAACAAATATAAATACATGGAAGAAGTCAAAATAAGGAAAAGTGAAATGCTCCAAAGCCATCTTTGCCCACCTCTTCCATGGCATTCCTAATTCTGATTTTGCAGTCCTTATTCTGATTTTGTTGATTCTCACTCAAAATATTTCATGGACATTCATACACACACACACAGACACACACACACACACATACATACACATACACATATGGATATAATTCTATCTCATTCATTCAAATGCCCGCCTAGTATTTCATGGTAAGAATAAACCATAATGTATTTAATTAAGCAATTTATTTTTCAACTGTTAATCCTGAGGCTACAGCAAACCAGAAGAAGGAGAACGAGTGTGGTGCTTTGAGTGCTTTGGCACCTAAAGGGCAAATGAGCTTCTCATAATTGTGACCCAGCAAGCATTCATGTCTCTTTAGTTTGATCAGACGTTAGAAACTGGCAGCAATACGCCCAATTCAGCTCACAGATGTGCTTTGTTTGTCACAGACAGTGTTTCTTGTTTGTTTTCTTGCAAAGAGCATACTTTTAAAAACCGGTTGGTTTCACATAGTAAATTGTGATTTTCAATGGACCCACATGAAAAGAACCAGTTGGTGCTAAGTAGTTGGAGCCCCACTTTCCACATGGGACATGTGCTTAACAGTATTCCACAGTTTCTGTCAAGCACACAATGCACACTTGCACCCAGGCTTTTTGCCAGTTTGCCATCTCCACCTGGCAATAAGAGGCATTTGCATTTGCTACTCAAGTACTAGAAGGAATATGCACCTCCTCAAAACCCTTAAGTGCTTAGAATCTAGTAGTAAATAACTATGGAATGAATGAATGTGTAGATAAATGAATGGGTTTGTTACATTTATGCCTTGATGTAAAACTCCAAGATTCTAAGTCTAAATTAAAAAATTTCAGGCCTTGATTATAATATGTAAAAGATTTAGTTAAATTTGGTGAATTTTTGTTTTTTTAAACACTTTTTTGGTTAAGTTGGTTAAAGTGTTTATAAAAGGAATTTGCAAGTCCCCCTGTATTAGTCTGTTCCCATGCTGCTATAAAGAACTGCCTGAAACTGGGTAATTTATAAAGGAAAGAGGATTAATTGACTCACAGTTCCATATGGCTGAGGAAGCCTCAGGAAACTTACAATCATGGTGGAAGTGGAAGCAAACCTGTCCTTCTTCACATGATGGCAGGAAGGAGACATGCTGAGCAAAGGGTGAAGAGCCCCTTATGATGTCATCAGATCTCATGAGAACTTACTATCACTAACAGGATGGGGGAAACTACCCCCATGATTCAATTATCTCTACCTGGTTCCTCCCATGACCAGGGGGATTATGGGAGCTACAATTCAAGATGAGATTAGGGTGGGGAACACAACCAAAGCTTATTGCCCCCTCTCCTGACAACTTTTTTCTTTAATTATATAGATTCTGCCAACTCTTGGAACGGTTTAGTGGTAACATGATAATATGTATTTGTTTTTACTTTTCTGGTCTTTAAAACATAAATTAAGCATAACAGAAACAGCAGAGACATTCGTTAAGTACACCTGTTTTGTTAACTTATAAAATGAATAAAGAAAAGTATACAGACAAAAAAAGATAACCTATGATTTTTTTTCAAAAATTGAACACATCAATTTAAGCAGCATCTAGATCAATAAATAGAACACCAGTGCCCCAGAATCTGTTGTCCCCCTTCAATAACTACCCCCAAAATAAACACTATTATGATTTCTATCATCATAGATTAGTTTTGCCTCATTTAGAATTTTATGTAATGGAATCATACATCAAGTGTTTTTTGTGTGGTTAGCTTATTTTGCTCAACAGTTATACTGAGATTGATCTATGTTGTGTGTAGTTTTCGTTCATGTGTTTTCATTACTGTAATTTATTTACATGGATATAACACAATTTACTTTCCCACTTTTTCTGATCATTCTAATTGTTTATAGCAATTGTGCTGTAATTGTGCTGCTATGAGCATTCTTGTCCATATCTTTTGGTGAACTTATGGGTGTGTTTTTAGTTAGTATATTTTAGTAGTGGAATTGCTGTGCCATAGAGGATACATATGTTCAACTTTAGTAAATACTGCTAAACCATTTTTGAGTCATTGTACCTATTTTATGCCCACAAGTGGTGTATAAGTTTTCTAGTTACCCCACATTAAGCATTGTCTGTCTTTTTCTTAGGATTCTAATGGCTGCATGGTTGTATCACATTGTGGTCTTAATTTCCAATCTTTCTGATGCTCAAGAAAATTGTGTGCCTTTTATATGCTTATTGAGGCTTTGAGTCACTTTTGAGCTGAAGTCTTCAGTTTGCCATTTAAGAGCTGTTTGACATTTGCCAAATGGGTTTGTTGGGGGATTTTATGAGGGAGCAAGTATAAAATATCCAATTCAATACTCAGCATACAGAAAATAATCAGTGAAAGATAATTCTTTTTATGGCCCCCTTCTGTGCTGTTTAAAACAAAATTTAAAACAAGGTCCAAAATAAAATTGGGAGGAAACAGTAGAGAGTAGTTGATTTATATGTGTATAATGTATGTAATTAGGGGGTGAGAAAAGAGAAACAGGAAGAGAGAACAAAACCAACGTTTTCTGATTATGATATTTAACTTATTGACAATCAAGTTAAGTCCGAAAGAAAATATGTGCTGTATAGTTCTCATTAGTGTGTGAGGGAGTAGAGATTAATGATATAAGCTTTTGATTCAAGAATACCTGGGTTTTTATTTTGTCTCTGTAGTTTAGATCTGTTATAAGGTTTTTAATAATATTGTCTTCATAAAATCAGTAGTGAAAATTAAATTTATATATGTATATGAAATTAAATATAAAAAATGAATATAAAATATTTTAAGCATAAAATATTTTTAAAATCCAAAATAAAAATTAGGCCAGTTGAGGTGGCTCATGCCTGTAATCCTAGCACTTTGGGAGGCCAAGGCAGGAGGATTACTTCAGCCCAGGAGTTTGAGACCAGCCTGGACAACATGGTGAAACCCTGTCTCTACCAAAAATACAAAAGTTAGCTAGGCGTGGTGGCGCATGCCTGTAGTCCTAGCTACTCAGGAGGCTGAGGTAGCAGGATCACTTGAGCCCAGGAGGTGGAGGTTGCAGTGAGCCAAGATTACGCCACTGCACTCCAGCCTGAGCGACAGAGCCAGAACCTGTCTCATAAATAAATAAATAAATAAATAAATAAAATTTAAAAAATAAAACTTAAAATTTAATTGTATAAAAATTCAAACCTAAACTGTAAGTTATATGTTTGTATTTGGCCAGTAGTAAATTAAGTACTTAACATAAGGTAGCTATTTTTATTAACTTTTCTATCTTTGAGCTTTGAGACGTAATTGTAACATAATTCTTGATATAAGGGGCAGTGTCCATAATAAGTCAATTACAAAGAAAAATCTGAGGCTTTCTATGTATGAACTTTTGTCTCTCATACCAAAAACTTAATGTTATCCTAGTTCATCACTTTTCACATTTATGATACTGTGTCAACCAGATGATTTCTTTTCCTTATGTGGCTACTGAGTAATGGTGGATGTTTTGTAGCAGCTACATTAGTCTACTTTAGTTTGGAAATGTTATCAGATTCGGTTTTCAAATTTTCTTTAAAGGATCTGAAGAAATTTTGAAAAAGTATACCTGAAGACATTAAAATTATGTAACTCTAAAGATATATTTCACATTTGCTGAAACAATGACTCTAAGGAGAAAATATACTAGCGTGGTAGGACTTTCTTGGATTTTGTTTTGTTTTGTTTTTGTTTTAGAATAGGGTCTCACTCTGTTGCCCAGACTTCAATATAGTGGCAAAATCATAGCTCACTGTAGCCCTGAACTCCTAGCCTCAAGAGATCCTCCCACTTCAGCCTCCCAAAGCACTGGGCTTATAGACATGAGCCACCACACTCAGCCAGAATTTTTTTTGTTTTTAAGAATATGTTTACTAAGATATTTGGATAATATTAGGTGATTAAGTAATACATCGACTCCTTAACAGTAACTTGAATTTTATTAGTGTAGTCAAGTTGAATTAGTTATAAATTCAGTCACACACTATATTGCTAATTCATGGACATGATATGGAACAGATGTACCTAGAGTTAAATTTGGTGGGCTAATTAAAATATTGGCTTGATTAAAATGACTTGCTTTTTCCGGACTGGCAAGATGAATTTTGTCAGGTTTTACTTTCCACATGGAAATTATTTTAAATATAAGTCAACTCTAATTTTACTCATTTATTGTGTTAACTTTCAAAATTCCACATTGTTATAGATATTTTGTCCAGAAACTTTATTTTGAGTGTTTGTGTGGATTAAACAGCTGGACAGAGAAAGATAGAAAAGTGGATGAGTTCAGTAGAAAAAGAGGACTCACTGTGTTAACATTATTTTCCTATTAGAAATTGAAAAAAACAATATATGAGCCTCAAACAGAAATAAATCTTTTTGTTATCCTACTGTTGGAAAAATATCATTTGGCACGGCACTTACCACTTTGGCCACTGTGCCTTTGTTTACTGGCCTATCGTCTCCAGCATTTTCCATTCTAACTGTATCTGTAATGTCACTGGAGAGATATGCCTCCAATGTTTCTATCTCTCTTGCTAAATATCTTTTCTATTTTGCAGTTGGAGTAAATAAATAAGCTTCCGTGTTCATCTTTCACTTTTCTCCAGCGATAACCTTCCTTCTTCTAAGATGAAAAATGTTGCATAGACTTTGTAGTTGTTGTTGTTTGAGACAGAGTCTCACTCTGTCACACAGGCTGGAGTGCAGTGGCATGATCTCGGCTCACTGCATCCTCCACCTCCTGGGTTCAAGCGATTTTCCTGCCTCGGCCTCCTGAGTAGCTGGGACTACAGGCGCCCGCCACCATGCCCAGCTAGTTTCTTTTGTATTTTTAGTAGAGACGGGGTTTCACCATATTGGCCAGGATGGTCTCCATCTCCTGACCTCGTGATCCACCCACCTCGGCCTCCCAAGGTGCTGGGATTACAGGCGTGAGCCACCAGTCCCAGCCAAAATGTTGCATAGAGTTTTATATGTCCACCCATATTCTCATATTTGAACCACTTGACAGACTTTGTAGTCTATATTGATTAATTGATCAGTATATAGATTCAGCATTATTTATAGAATAAAATCCTGGAACAAAATTAACAAGCTGTTCTCTCATCCTAGTCCAATCTCCTCAGGACAGTTTGTTTTTCTCTCTAATCCTCTTTTTCTCATTTGCAAAGTTAGTTAAGAGGGCATCAACTAAATCCAAAATAGTATATAGTGAAGTAACATTGTCTATCTCACAATCTTATTGTAAGAATGAAATTATTCTAATAAGAATATTAATAAATAGAGCTACCGTGTATTAAGTACATACCCTGTGCCAGTTGTTTTTGTTCATTTATTTTGATACTCATAACACTTCACAAGGGAGTGTTAAATGTTATTCTCATTTAACAAATGAAAAAAGGAAGAAATGAAGTCACTTCTTAATGCTATTATACAGTACTGGAAGAACTTGAGCTTCATGGTCAAAGGCCAAGTTATTTTCATTATAATGTGTTGCTTTCCCAAATTACATACTATATTGATGCACTTTGTAAAACTATGAAGGGTCACGTAGAGAGTTTAACGTTGGTAACAATTGTGTCTAAGCAGCATCTGCTGTGTGAATCTATACCTTCCACTGCTTTTCCACTCTTTCAATTTGATCTTCATCCTCAGCTGTCAGCAGACATCTCATTTTCAGTCTTTCAATGCCCCCAGATTTTGCTTTTTTCTGACACAGGGGAGACCTCACTGCAGTGGTATTCACAAAACGTCACCACAAACTACTTGGTTCTTTGTGTATCTGTGTATTCACCTTTATAATTCATTGGCCTTGGTTCTGTTGAAACTTTTGTTTTCTCCACTGCTGTTTGAAACTGCTGAATATCATTAGAGACAATTGTAAGATGCCTTCACTGTTATTCAGATGAGCCTATATACATGTGGTCAATCTTTTTTAGCCCTTAATTAACTCTTGGCATTGTCCAAGTTGCTACTATTCTGGAGGGTGGATGGGAATAGATTAATGTAGTGGAAAGAATACAGGCTTTAGGACTAACATGAAATTTCAAATCCAAAGTCTGCTACACACTAACTGTGTAACCCTGAGTCAATATCCACGTTGAGCTTCAGTTTCCTTACCTATAAACTTAAGACTCCATTTTAATGAGTAGCTTGTCAAAGTTACATGGATTTTCTGAATCATAAATGGGAAAGCAGCTGCCTTAGGGACTGGAATGTAGTAAGTGTACACAAGATGCTACTTTTGTTCATGTTAAGTCTCCAATGCTGCCTTCACCTTTTTCTAACTCAAAGCATTTGAAATATCTCCTATTTAAAAAGGCAAATGGAGGCCGTAAAGTAAAAGTCCATAACTTCCCTCTCTCTTTCACTTCTAAATTTAAATATTTGGTGCTACCTTTCCCCTTCTCAGATGAAGCCCTCACTCTTCTTTCTCAGATAATTTATTCCACCTATACTCTTTTTATTTATTTATTTATTTTAATTTGAGATGAAGTCTCACTCTTGTTGCCCAGGCTGGAATGCAATGGCGCAATCTTGGCTCACTGCAACGTCTGCCTCCTGGGTTCAAGCGATTCTCCTGCCTCAGCCTCCCAAGTTGCTGGGATTACAGGCACCCACCAGGACGCCCAGCTAATTTTTGTATTATTAGTAGGGACGGGGTTTCACCATGTTGGCCAGGCCTGTCTTGAACTCCTGACCTCAGGCCAAACACCCGCCTCAGCCTCCCAGAGTGCTGGGATTACAGGCGTGAGCCACCGTGCCCGGCCCCACCTATACTCTTGATGACATCTCTTTGTTTCTTCATTACTTTAATCCACCAAATATCCTTTTTTTTCTATCCACCTCTACCTTCCAGAATATAAAAATGTTTTAGAGTTCTCTATTCTGAAATAAAAATTATAAAACAAACAAAAATTTTGCCTCAAGCTTACTTAACCTACAAGCTGATTTATTGACTCCAGCATTTTCTAAAATGTCTTGAACGAATAGTCT
Organism: Homo sapiens; assembly: GCF_000001405.40. Taxonomy (NCBI): domain Eukaryota; kingdom Metazoa; phylum Chordata; class Mammalia; order Primates; family Hominidae; genus Homo; species Homo sapiens. Next base: position 83,445,209 of record NC_000007.14, on the reverse strand, counting down.
GTATTTGCTATCTTTGCTTCCTCAACTTCCATTTACTCTTCCACTCAAGGTGCATCTATCACTTTGTTGAAACGGACTGGTTATTGTTACCTACAGCCTTCTAGTTGGTAAATGTCTTCCTTAACTCATTTTCCTCCACTGCTTCCTTGCTGCATCTGACAGTGTTAGTAATTTTCAAATAGAAGCTTTCTTCCTTTCATTTTTAGGACCATGTTTTCCCCATAGTTTTGAAATGCTGAGGCTGGTCACGGTGGCTCACGCCTGTAATCCCAGCACTTTGGGAGGCCAAAACGGGCGCATCACCTGAGGTCAGGAGTTTGAGACCAGCCTGGCCAACGTGGCAAAATCCCATCTCTACTAAAAATACAAAAATTAGCCAGGAGTGGTGATGTGTGCCTGTAGTCCCGGCTGCTCTGGGGGCTGAGGCAGGAGAATCACTTGAACCCCGGAGGCGGAGTTTGCAGTGAGCCGAGACTGAGCCACTGCACTCTGGCATGGGTGACAAAATGAGACTCCATCTCAAAAAAAAAAAAAAATGCTGAATATTCTGCCTTCCTAGCCTTTTAAATGTTGATGATTGCAGGAATTCTTTTCTTGGTCCGTGTTTTCCAACATTGCATGCTTTCCTTGGTATTCTTATTTCTTTACATAGCTACATCTACCCTCTGTTGGATGGCTCCAAAATCATATTCCCATAATTGGTCTTTATCTAGAAATCTATAATCACATTTTCTATGCTTACTGGACATTTATCCCTAAAGTAATTCCCTAGAGACAATGTAAGATAACCATTCTTTTAACAAATAAAACTCTACACATTCAGGTTGACAAAGGAGGGAGGACCTCTTGACAAGAGGAAGAGACAGATCCTATGCTTCCTTCATGACTCTACTCTCCAACAAAAGAGACCAAAGAGACAATCACGAGATTTTGTGCCATGTTTCAAAGACTATATTCTCTAATTTGTCCATGCATTCACTATGCTGATTCCTTTACTTGGAAAACTCTTATCCTTATTCTCTGTTTGGAACATCCTAACTCATCCATCAAGACTGAGATCACACATTATCTCCTCTATTAAGCTTATCTCAACCTCTATCAGATGAAGCTACTTACTTCAATGATTAATTTGGATTTTAATTGTACTTAAGACAAAACTTAATTTTGAATTAGTATCTCAAGAGACTGTCATTTCTAACTATATCTTCATGCTTCAACATAATGCTGGCAGCAGTCATTGAAATCATTCATTGAAAACATGTAATAAACATATATATATATATATATATATATCAGGTCATTATTTTACTTAACGTTATTTAACTTAACCTAGTTATTTATAAACTATTAATTGCTAGACCCTTAAATAGTTGTTGCATTAATATAAATCAATAAAAGATGCTTCTGAATAGAATTGAGTATTATGTTGACTTTTAAATTTAAAACTGGTATGTTCAAATATTTGAATACTCTTTAAATTTTTTTTGAATTTTTAAAATCAATATTGAAAATTCAAGATCACATATATGCAAGTATATATATGATGATCTTTCCAGCTTTCTGGACTAATTACTCTTTGACTGTTTCCTCTTCTATACTAATCATTTATAAATCATAATTTAAATGTTTATTTCTTATATAATGTCTTTAGTGAACTGCTTTTATTTCAACCCTGATTTGGAATCAATCATAGGCTATCTATCAGGCTGTGCAAATAAACCTTTGCTTAACTCAAATTAACAAAGCCTTGGTTGAATACATCAGGGGAGGCAGTATCTAGTCTGTCTTGCTATAATTCTTCTGTGACCTAAGCCAGTTCATATAACTGATGCTTTGTTATTGTGATGACACTTTTACTTTATACCCTTTTTCTGTCAGAAGTGGATACCTAATGGGCTCTTTCATGTTCCAAGTGTTCAGATTTTTGTTCAGGAGCTCTAATCCAACCCTTGGGGTCCTACTTTTGGTTTTGTCCCTTCTTCAATCCAATACCCCGTCACCATGTCAGAAAGGTCCTGTACAAAGGTACTCCACTACCCTGTCTCTTTCTGATTTGATGGTTAGTATGGGCAGTAACTGGACGTCTCTTTGCTGTGTCAGCTTTATTCTATTCTTATCATACTTGTTCTGGCTTTACCATTACAGAGCTGCTCAAATTCTGGCTCTCAGTTCCAACAGTCTCTTCTCTCTGTATTCCCCTTCTGGTTTCCCCAGTCCCTCATATCTACACCCTCACAACTTGGACTACTTCATCGACACAAGCTACTAAGAAGGAGAGTTGCTACAATGTACTGGAAATTCCAAGGATGTTTTATTAGCTATGCTGCAGAATTAGAGGAAAGTGCTAAAGTTCAAATACTTCTACCTGACAGAGCAGTGCTTCCTCATGGGGGGCATAGAAGTTCTGGTAAACTCTCAGGAGGGTGGAGGGTTCCTGGCCAGGAACATCAGGAAGGGGACTGAGTGAAAACACGTAACTCTACATGATGTAGAGGATGGTCTAAACATACAGTTGTAGGGAAAAAGGCTATAAAAAACAAAACAAAACAAAACCCACAAACAAAAACCTGACCCCGAGTATAGCAGCTTTAGCAAACGTAGAAAAAAGAAAAGAGAAAAATAACAAGCAAGTAAACTCTTCACTGATGGTGTTTTTCTTTGGGAACTTTCTATAGGATTCCCATTCCTTAAGTGGCTAAATCACTGTTGAGATAATAGAAATTTACATTGGCTAAATATGTGAGAGTATAAAAGTAAAGGAGCCAAGTGGACAGTGAGTAGTTAAACAGAAAATTGCCTGCCTTGTTTCCAAACAGAACTGAGTCTGGTAAACATCTCTTCAGTCCAGTGATGTCTAAATAAAAATCAGCAAACCTTGGGGCTAAGGAAAGGATCGGCATCCAAAATGTGGTAGCACAGGATATTGAAAAGAGATTGAAAAGTATTTATTAATTAAAGAAATGGAAATAGGACATAATATTATTTGTTTGACTTCTAAGTAAAACTCAAATATAATGTGAATTTTTGGAATAAGATATGAAAGATTCTGTAAAGGCTGGAGGGGAATTTAACACATCTTCAATAGTGGTTATCTCCAAATATTTGAATTATGAAAAAATCATTAATTACAGGTTTATGTATGTACATTCTACATTTTTTCTCCATAATATGTAGATTTAATTTGAAAGTAATCATGTTGCTTCATTCATTTATAGTTATGCAAGTTTTTGCCTTCCTCTTTGTAAAGAATTCAAAGAACAGAGACAAGTTGAAAGTACTGATTGAACATTACCCCAATCTTAGTCTTTTCTTTGGAAAAAAATAAAACAAAAAACACTCTCACCAGCTTACATTGTCTTGCAGACCTTTTCCTCTCTGGAAGGACGCAATCCAAACTGATGACAGTGGTGATATTAATTGTATATATACACACATGTATATATGTGTGTGTATCCATACCTGTAGGCTTAAAAATCTGTTTCTTGCTGGATGTGTAACATGGGGCAGGTTACTCTTTCTGATGGTGGCTCAGTGTCCTCCTCCATAAAATGGAGCTTACCTCACATATAGGGTTGCTGTGATGATTAAATTAATGTAAATAAAGCACCTAGAATACTACTTGGCAAATAGTAAATGTTGTATGACTATAGCTATCATTGTCATATCAACGGCAGACCCAGCTGCAGCAGCAGCATCACCATATCTTTCTTTTTTGTACTTATTTTCTAAATTCTTCAGTGGCATCAACTATTGCCATTGCATGTTGGTTCACAAATCTGAATCTTAGTGCTAACATACATTTTGATATGCTGTATCGAGTTTTTATTATTTTCTGCCATTATTTAAAAAAACATACAAATTGGCAAATCACATTCCCCATATGAAATGTTATCAGGTTTTCTTAAAAACCCGTCCTTTCATTCATTTCTACTATGCTTCTACTTTTTTCCTTTTCATCCATGCTTAACACCTAATTTTTGTAACCTAACTTTTCCCCAAGTTGAATCAGTAGCAGAATCCTTTTGGCTGTATCCATAAACTGTTTTTCTAATCCATTTCTTTTTCTATTCCTCCTGCCAGGACTATCATTATCTTTGACTGCTATCACTAACTTCCTTACTGTTTTTACATGCTTTTTAATCTCACTATGTCTCTGCTGTCAAATTAATCTTGCCATCCAGTAAGTCTCTTCAAAACAACCAGGTTTACCATTGCACACTAAGTGAAGAGTTCAAATGGTATATCTCAGATAGCTAGTGTCCTTCAGAGTCTGGCTCTAATATAACTTCTCAGTCTCTTCTCTCCCTCTTGCTCATTAAACTTTCCTTATATGTGTTTGGTTACAATCCATCTGGGCTACTCACTGCTGTCCTACAGACTTTTATCTGTCTTTTTTTTTTTTTTTTTTGAGACGGAGTCTTGCTCTGTCACTCAGGCTGGAGTGCAGTGGCACAATCTCAGCTCACTGCAACCTCCACCTCCTGGGTTCAAGCCTCAGCCTCCTGAGTAGCTGGGATTACAGATGTGTACCACTATGCCCAGCTAATTTTTATCTAAGTCTTGAATGAGAAGCTTTGTTCTCCTTCTAGAATGTCTTCCCATTATAGGGGAATGGTTTAAAAATTTTGGAATAAGATCTGCCTGTTAGTAGGTTGCAAATTTGCATAAGTTTCTGAAAATCTCTGAATCTAAGAAAGTTTATTTATAAAATGAGGATAAAATTATCCTATGAGGATGTAGTAACAACACAATAAACAAGTAAGAAATATGCTTATCACAATACCCCACAGACAGAAAATGTCCCTAATGTGAACTCTTAGCCAATTGGTAGGTTCTTTTCTTCCTTAGGAAAAGCATCCTAGAATATTACCACTCCCTTTCCCAAACCAGACCACCCTACCACCTCCAGGACAAGAAATAGGCTCCTATGTTCTCCTCTTCTCATAACACTATGTACCTCATTATAGAGATTTTTCACACTGAGGCACTCATTATACTAATTGTACTTCCCAATGTTGAGCCCAGAAAACACAGTTTCTACCCTCTGCTGTTCTTTGGAGGATTACCATGAACTTAGATACTTCTATTAAATATTTGTGATGAAGCAATAAAGGAAAATATTTAGAAAAAAAACATTTTGTATCTTGTAAAGTGCTCTGCAGAAATTGTTTGCAGGACCTACCAGAATTAACATACGCTGTGCACAGAGTGGTGAAGTGCACATTGAATTGAAAAGCTGGTGTTAGATACTGTGTTTATTCTACATTCTTTTACCACTGATCATGTGGTTCCAGTGAAGCAGAACCACATGCTGGTTACCTATGTCTGAGTTTTACATATTTCTATTCTATTCTGTTATTGATAGAGAGGCATAAGCCACCATAATATCATGCAAGAAAAGAAAATACGTTAAGGATATTATAATGTCTCTTTTGCTTCTGTAGTATAAGCTAATTTTTGTGTCTTGATAAAAGGAGGAATCAGAAGCAAGAAGAAAGGTGCAAAATATGCTCTCACACTCAAGACTCATAGAGCAAGTTTTCTCATTTCAAGTATGTAACTGATTAGAACAGGTTAGACTGTGGCGTTGAAATCATAAAATCAGAAATAATTATTTAATTGTTATCAGCTTTGAAAATAATTTTGGAATAAAATTCTTCTTTAACTGTATAAGAATAGTACACTATGATATAGGTACATTTTCTCCTCTCCCTGAGAAACAACCAAAAAGCCCTTAGCCTAGACTCCTCTGATGATCATGAAAGACTTTGCCCATTAACCTTAGTTTTCCAAAATTTCCTTTGTTGAGACTTTTAACTCCAAGAGAGCTATATGGCTGCAGCCTGGGCTGAATAACAAATCGGCTGTTAGAGAAAGCGTCCTTTCCCTCGCAGCTGTCCAGTTCTTACTGTGCAGATGGTGGATTTATGTTTTCTTTTACCAGCAATTCCTTTCTTTCTTCTCCACACAGGACTGTGATCCTTTGTGATCAAGTATGACTCAGTCAGCAGTAGGAACACTCATAGGATTGAAGAGTTTTCAAATGCATCCAAGTAAAAGGGAAGAAGGGATTTAGAACTGAAGAATTATTCCAAAGCCTATCTGCATACTAAAACGAGACTATGACTTCCTTCCCATGAAAAGTAGATATTCATGGTTTTATAAAAAGCATCTTTGTTCTAAAAAAAGAATTTTGATTCCTGCTCCATTCTATGTGGTCAGAATAACAGCAGAGCAGTCAAACCCAGAGAAGGTGGTCAGGAAAGACACAGAAGAGAAAATCCATATCTTAAAGTTAACTTGGAGTCAAGATGGTTCTTTCCTTGCCATGTCTAAACGTCTAAATAATTACCTCCATCCTTCAGTTAAATTTTTAAAAGTGTATACATAAATGTTTACTCATTTTATTTCTAGCATTCTCCTATTTATCTTACATATTAAAATATATAAATGCCTACTTTTATTATATATAATTATTTAGCCATATTAAATTATAATATATATAGCATATTTTTTTTCTAAGAGACCGTTATGGTGTAACCCAAATGCAAATTGGATATGCTATGCCTTATCATGCAGTGCATAGTAAATATCATAAGTTAATTGTCTGTTTACACTGAATAAATGCTTATCACTACTATTGTTTTCTATAAAATTTGTCCTAAAATATCTATAATAGTGAAGGCATGTGTGTAACTGTTAAAAAATAGCCAATCATACTTACATTTATTAAAGTTCTTGGTATTTTATTAAGTGATTGAAATTATGATATCTAGACCATGATGTCAATTACTACGAAACTTCATTTTATTCTGCTTTTTAAGTATGGGCCTGCTTTGAATAGTGTGTAGTTTATTTATGTAAAGAGATTCCAGGTAAGCTACTTAAGTAATTTATTATAGAAGGCTATATCATTTTCTACATGAATTATAAATTTAAAGTCAGGTTAATTTGGTGACCCAGGTAGGGATTGACTAGCCATATGTGATGAATTTTCTATCACATTAAATTTGACTTAAAAAAATAAAACACAGGTGATTTTAGAGTGAATAAATAAAAATCAATACCAAAGATATTATTACATTCATACGAAGACTGCCTGTGCTATTTTTTCAAAGAATTAAAATACTGAATTTCTTTTCTTAATCTCAGAACTCGATATTTAATTATAATATGACATTTTCTGATGTGGCCTCACAGAATATTTCTAGCACATATTGCCAACATTGAATTTTTTATATTCTTATGCTTGTTTAGGCTTATTTCAATCTGTTGCAGTTATTATCCTTATTATGAACAAGTTGTCCTGTCTTTTCCCAGTAGGTATCTCTTCAAGTTGATATCGAAGTCTTTGTGATATAATCCTAATAGTTTTAATAGTTTCCTTGCTTTCTAGAATGAAAAGATTCTAAGCCCATCTTACATTATGGACCAAGGTCTGAGGTCAGCCACTTCTCCAAGGAGCACTTGTTCCTTTTAATGGGAAATGTTATTTGGGACTACAGTCAGAAGACTAAGAATATAACTGCTTCTTAGTTTGTTTTAATTTCCATTTCATATATTTATGGCTGAGATAGTATCTTTTTACATTTTAAGAGTCATTTGAGTTTCCTTCTCTCTGGACTGTTCTTTTCCTTTGTTCATTTTAAAAATTCAACTTTCACTGATTTTTATGTTTAAAATAAGAAAGAAAGCCTTTGTTTTTTGAGTGAAAAAAAGTTTATGTTATTCATGTAGGATTTTTTTCTTTAAAATTTTAAGTCATAAAATTTATCAATTTTTTAATGTCTTCTGGATTTTGTGTCTTATTTTATTATAAATGGCATTTCCCACAAAGGTTTTATACAAACTTTTAATGTTTTTTAATTACTTTAATTGTCCTATATCTTAAGTTTAGATTGTTGATCAATCTGAAATTTTAGTACAAGGTTGTAGGACATGAAGTGATAATCAAACTTTATTATTATTATTATTTTTTGGATGACAATCCAGTTATCCAAACAACATTTATGGAAGAATCTATCATTTATCCATAGTGCTTTGAAATACTACTGATATGGTTTGGCTGTCTCCTGACCCAAATCTCATCTTGAATTCCACCAGGACCCAGTGGGAGGTAATTGAATTATGGGAGCAGGCCTTTTCCATGCTGTTCTCATGATAGTAAGTCTCACGAGATCTGACGGTTATTATAAGGGTGAGTTTTCCTGCACAAGCTCTCTTTGCTTGCTGCCATCCATGTAAGACATAACTTGCTCCTCCTTGCCTTCTGCTATGATTGTGAGGCTTCCTCAGCCATGTTGCAATTAAACCTCTTTATTTTGTAAATTGCCCAGTCTCAGGTATGTCTTCATCAGCAGCATAAAAACGGACTAATACAACCACCCATATAGATATACATTCTTATACCATATTGGCTTCTTCCAATATTGAACAAGGTTTTAAAATTAACTGTAGAATAACAACAAAAAGAAAATAATGCTGAGTAAAATTAGCATTATGCACCATTGGGTTTGATATAAAATATCTGCTTGCAAACCCTTGGATTTTTAAGACATCAGTTTTCTTTGTATACTTGCTTATATCATGTATTTAAATTTTCTAGTTCCTGAAGTTTCTCTGTTGACTTTTACTTGCATTCCTTCCTCTGATTCTCATAATAGTCACAGAAGATAGCAGTAACAGAAACATAAATATATATATATGTATATGTGTGTATATATATGTATGTATATATATTTAACAAGTAACGAAATTGAGGTTGAAAGGCTATAAAATCAAACCAGAAACTTCATCTTTCTTATCTGCCACTTGAGTTAACTCTCTTTATAAAAAATCTTGATTCTTATTCTCATTCTTATTTCTATTCTTCTCCTCTTCTTATTCTTCCTCCCCCACATTTTCTTCTTACTAGTTTATTAGATCAGACAACATTTTTATTTTCTTATTATGCCTGACCTTTTAGATTTATTTGTGTTGTATATCTTTAACACACGTTTTATATGTATGCGTGTGTGTGTACACACACACACATATGTTAGAGAACTACTATAAAACATAATGCCTAACTTTTGAATAGTAACAGGTATCATGAGAAAAAATATTTCAGCTGAAAGTTTCACATTACCAAATATAGTATTGATATTATGGTCCCCACATAAACAATTAAATCATATGATATAAACACATCATGAAATAATTTAACATCAATGTAATCTATACAAAGAAAGGCTCCAACATGAGCTCAACTTGTTGCTACTTTAAAGTTGAATATTGACTTTATGATAGACACAGAAAATGACATGTTACATATATAGAGGGAAAGAAAAACATTTAATAATTTTGAAAAAATATTAGGATACAAATTAAAATGTACATGAAGATGAAGTTAAGTATATTAACCATGGAATTTTACATCACGAAAGACCAATGATATAAATAATATTGCTAACTAACTATAGACGAAGATGTTACATTCACTTAGAGTATCTGATATTTTTGTTAGAATATACAGGTGAGGTTTGGTGTATAAATATTGAAGAATAAATTAAAAATTAAATAGTTTCTGTCTTTCTTTTTTCTTTTCTTTCTTTCTTTATTTATTTTATTTTTTTTGGACGGAGGTTCGCTCTGTCTCCCACGCTGGAGTGCAGTGGCATGATCTCGTCTCACTGCAGCCTCTGCCTGCCGGGTTCCAGCAATTCTCCTGCCTCGGCCTCCTGGGCAGCTGGGATTACAGGCTTGTGCCACCATGCCCAGCTAGTTTTTGTATTTTTTTAGTAAAGACAGGATTTCACCATGTTGGCCAGGCTGGTCTCGAACTCCTGACCTCAGGTGATCTGCCTGCCTTGGCCTCCCAAAGTGCCAGGATTACAGGCGTGAGCCACTGTGCCAGGCCAAAAATTCAATAATTTCTTTATTAAGTAAGCAACAGTTTATGGCAAGTTAACTCAAACATGTTTTGGATAATAAATGCCTACAGGTCAATTAGGATATTATTGTGCAAAATCATGTATTAACTGAGTCACACAGATGAACAAAAGTGGCATCCTCAATGAGAAAAAGAGTAGAACTTTTTCAAGGTCTAACATTTAGTTTGTTAAATGGACACAATATGGACTAAAAGGACACTTATTTTTAGATAAAGATTTTTTGTAAGAGAATGCTATTAGAATTACATCCATAAGAAATACAGTTGGCCGGGCGCGGTGGCTCACGCCTGTAATCCCAGCACTTTGGGAGGCCGAGGCGGGCGGATCACGAGGTCAGGAGATCGAGACCATCCCGGCTAAAACGGTGAAACCCCGTCTCTACTAAAAATACAAAAAATTAGCCGGGCGTAGTGGCGGGCGCCTGTAGTCCCAGCTACTTGGGAGGCTGAGGCAGGAGAATGGCGTGAACCCGGGAGGCGGAGCTTGCAGTGAGCCGAGATCCCGCCACTGCACTCCAGCCTGGGCGACAGAGCGAGACTCCGTCTCAAAAAAAAAAAAAAAAAAAAAAGAAATACAGTTGAGGATAAATAAATCTATCCTCAAATTAGCCAATTCTGCCAAAGTGTGGCACAAAATGGTAATTGGCATCAGGAAGAACAAAAGTAAATTTGGTTTATTGTGCACATTTATCTTGAAAGTATATAGAACACAGTTTAATTTTTTAGAGCAAGAAGCATGTTTGTTATTATTAAAAATAAAGTCAGCTAAGACGCTAGTCAGTTTTGCTGTGTTAATGTATTGATAAGTTGAAAGCATATTGGATGAATTCTAATTTAATAAAGTTTGCTTTGAGATTGCATACTGCTTATTAATGCATTTAAATCTTCTATTTTATGTTGCATTTGAAAATGGCAGTCCCCAGAGCAAAAGAATTTAACCCAAAATACTATCAATATTATTTTATAATGTCTTCTTTGTAAGAGAAAGATTTTTGATCAGTTTAATAAAGTTGTTTTCCAGGGAGCCAATTTGCAGGTTTTTATTAAGTAAGAGCAATATATGAAACAATCTGGAATTGCTGATTCCAGATTATTTAGGTGTTCATTTGACGGAAAGTTTCTCAAATGTGTTGTTAGAATTTAAAATTTATATATATGTAGTAGGTTGGTGCAAACATAACTTGCAGGTTTTGCCATGAAAAGTAATGGTAAAACTACAGTTATTTAGCACCAACCTAATATATGAAAAATATAGTTTCTAATGAATTTCTTCATAAATAATTATTTTAAAGAAAATTATTAAGTATAGAAATACAAAATCTATGAAATGTTCTTAAATTAAATTTTATTCTTTCCCAAAATAATGAGGTTTGATTGGGATCATCGTATATTTTATCAGTGAAAGGTGTTTAACTGTTCTTATGTCTAACTTTGATAAGCTATAGAGCTATAAAAACTTTTGAGCTACACCCTCAAATAAAATGATACAACACCTTATTTGCTCGGTATGTATCGTCTTTGTCTTGTATCCTCATTTACAATTAACTATTCACATTTAACACCTCTAGAAATTTTGTAAATCTATACTTCAAAATTTTAGATTTTGAAAAATCTGAAAGCTTTTTTGTAGAACACAGAATGTACTAATATTTCAACAAGTATTTAGAGATATATTTTTATGGAATAGATATTTTTGTGAGTGTTCAGAATGTGAAAGCTTCTCCAATTATTAATTTAAAAGATGCTTCTAAACTAATTGGGAAGCATTGTTAAGGTTGTTGTAGTTTGACTTGACTGTAGAAACTTTAGTTAGGAGCTTGTCATAAATAAAGATAAGAATTTCGGTTAGTAAATCTGGGATATGAGCAAGAGTCAATGTTGTAAACAGTCGGTCCAGGAGTGACTTTTATAGGTGATTCACTGGGAACATGCTATGAAATATAAACCTCAATAAGACACTCAGTTCCCTTTGTAACTATTAGTTTGAAACAACCTCCAAATATATATATTACATTTACATTTTAACGTTCTTTCTTTTCCAAAAATGATAATCATTTTTTTAAATCACTTACTTTGAACAAGACATTTTTAACACAGATCACATCATATAATCTTTGCAACAAATGTGTGAGTTTGGTACTAGTGCAAAGCCCCTTTACAGAGTTGTCTTTCAAGTGAAAAAATTAATGTAGTTAAAATTATTTGTTTAAAAATTCAATATATGTACAATGCAAAAATTGCAAAAGTCCAAACACTCAGAAAGATATCAAATGCATAGCAAAAGTTTTCAAAAGCTACTGTCCTGGACCCCAGCACCAAACCCTGCTGAAATATATTATTGTTTTCTTGGGTGATTTGAAAAATTACAATAAGATTTATGCATTCAATATATGACTGTACTATAAATTATTTTTTCTGTATTGATCAATGTTTATGTTGGATATCTTTTTTTCTGTTCCACACATGTGGCTGGTAAAGACTTATGCATTTATCTTGGTTTAGAATAGATTCTAATCAGGAGAATTTCTTGATAAAATGATCAAGTTCTCTTTGAAATTAATAGGCACCCCTAAATTAATCTTCAAAATCATGGCACTAATTAATGCTCTGAAAAAGCATATATGATTGCCTAACTTTCGATACCTATGTCAATTTTGTGTATCTACCTATATATCTCTATATATGTGTTTTCATTTCAATGACTCTTACCAGTAAAATGACAATGCATTGTTTCATTTAGGTGATAATTCTCTTAAGACCTTTGACAGTTATTGCTAAATTATTTTCCACAGGTTATACCATTTCACACTTTTATTAGCAAAGTGTGAGAACATCTCTGTTAACATTCTTTCACTCCCAGACGTTATTATAACTTTTTATTTGTCTTATTTTGATAGTAAATGCTTCATTTGACTTATTAGTAATTATGTTAATAGTAATAACTACCTCTAAGTAATATTTCTTCTATTTAAACCATGCTCTATTGCCACACAACAAAAAAAAAAACCCTCAAATGCAATTGTGTAAAACTATTTTTTAATAGTAATGGATTCTGTGGGTCAGGGATTTATTCAGAGCCTGGTAGAGGTGGCTTGTTTCTCATCCACAATTTTTAGGGCTTCAGCTGAGAATATTCAAATGGCTGCAGACTGGAATCGTCTGGAGACATCTTCACTTAGATGTCTGGAAATTGTGCTGTGATGATTCAAAGGCTGCACTGCACTGAGACTTTGAATTAGAAAACCTACACATGGCCCCTCCAAGTGCTTTGAGCTTCTTAACATGGTAGCTGGATTCCAAGAGGGAGCATTCCAAAAAAAAAAAAAAAAGTCACCAATTAATTGGGGAGTGAATAGGTGGCACCTGCACAGAAGAGGACATTGGATAAAAGACCTTGTTGTTATAGCCAATGCTGGAAAATACAATCAGCCACATTAATTTCTTATATGTTATTGAGCTAGAACATGTTCTCGCAAATTTGCCACCTATATGGTCTTTATTATAGATAGTTATTAACACCAATTGCCAAAAACGTCATTTGGAAATTACCCATTAATACCACTTGCTTGGGCTGGGTACAATGACTCATACTCATGCTTGTAACTCCAGCATTTTGGGAGGCTGAGGTGGGTGGATCACTTGAGGTCAGGAGTTTGAGACCAGCCAGGCCAACATGGCAAAATCTCGTCTCTACTGCAAGTACAAAAACTAGCCGGGCATGGTGGCATGTGCCTGTAATCCTAGTGACGAGAGGCTGAGGCAGGAAAATGGCTTGAACCTGGGAGGGGGAGGTTGTAGTAAGCTGAGATTGTGCCACCTTTCTAGAACAAATATGATAACCCTTAATCATATTATATTATTTTTTTAACTTACCCGTTAGTGTTTCCAACTCAAATTAAGATATATTTTTTAATTTATATTTATTTTTTTCTAATAAAAATTTAACTTTCCAAGAAATTTAACCCTACATTAATTAATTTTTACATTTCAGATACAGAGAGACATTCCTTCTCAAAACTTTATTTTATTTCTGCCATTGAAATTATTTATCTACCAAATATAATTCAACCATTAAAATGTTGTTATTAGCTATTAAAATATAGTTAATATATTGAAGAAAAAAATATCCTACTATATTATATATTAATAGCAGAAACCTGTTCACTTGGGCTTTTTTTTTTTTTCTTTTTTTTCTTTTTTTTGGCAATGCAGTGAAAATTTATTTCAGAGTTCCAATAGACAACCATTAATAATCAATGTTTTCATGCAATGACTATGTGGCCACTTCCTTTTCTATTTTGTTCAACTCAGTTATTTTGTGTAATGAACTTTGCCCATTTGTCTTTGAAATTTCTTCCTTGGCCATAGTAACTTTTGGTTTCGTATAACATTTTAATTTTCAAAGATTTCACATCAATTTTTTCTTTCATTTTTATTTTACTTTAAGTCCTGGGATACATGAGCAGAACGTGCAGGTTTGCTACATAGGTATACATGTGCCATGGTGGTTTGCTTCACCTAATAGTCCGTCATCTATGTTTTAAGCTCCACATCCATTAGGTATTTGTCCTAATGCTCTCCCTCCCATCTCCCCCAGCCCCTGACAGGCCCCGGTGTGTGATGTTCCCCTCCCTGTGTCCATGTGTTCTCATTGTTCAACTCCCACTTACGAGTGAGAACATGTGGTGTTTGGTTTTCTGTTCCTGTCTTAGGTTGCTAAGGGCAATGGTTTCCAGCTTCATACATGTCCCTGCAAATGACATGAACTCATTATTTTTTATGGCTGCATAGTATTCCGTGGTATTCATCTGGGCTTTTCTTTTTTTTTTAACGTCACCCAGGCTGGAGTGCAGTGGCGGGATTTTGGCTCACTGTAACCTCTGTCTCCTGGGTTCAAGTCATTCTCATGCCTCAGCCTCCTGAGTAGCTGGCATTACAGGTGTGCACCACTATGCCCAGCTAATTTTTGTGTTTTAAGTAGAGACAGGTTTTCACCATGTTGACTAGGCTGGTCCTGAACTCCTGGCCTCAAGTGATCCACCCGCCTCGGCTTCCCAAAGTGCTGGGATTACAAGCATGAGCCACCGTACCCGGCCCATTTTGGCTTTTCTATGTTAAATTGACAATTAGAGTCTATTTTCTCAATTTTCATGGGGTTTAAAAAAGACTAGCATGCATCATACTTCCTATATTCAATATTGATTGAATACCTGAAACACAGTAAGCTTGGAACATAAGCTTCTTAAGTGTTTGTTAAATTATCCATGAGTGCATAATCACAATACAATGTAAATAATGCTACAAGAGATATACAGCATCATCCATGGGAGAAATTTTGATTGGAGATTTCTTAGAGAATATCAGTGAAGTCATTTTTTTTTTCCAGCAAAGTCATTTTTAAACAGCATTTTCTTTTGGATAAGTAGGAGTTAATGTTGTAGGAAAACAAACGAATAAGCAAAAAACCGAATGGAATTCCCCTTCCCAATAATCAAACAGCTATGAGTATTATCATGCATGCAACTTTAAAGAAAGTCACTTGTGCAGGAGTGTGGATTGGATGAGGGAGAGGGGAGGGGAAACTATGAGGGACAAAGCCTGAGGGCAAACAGTGAAGGGCCTGAGCTGCCCATTCTTGAGGTTAGACTTCCTTCAAAAACAAAAGCACTGCAGGGTTTTTGAAAAGGAGGCTGGCATGATCATATTTGAAAAGTTGGTGAGGATGACATAGGCAGCAAATGATGTTTTTCCAGTAAAAGCAGGCTTCAGAAAAACATAAGGTTTGAAGGATATTTGCTTCAAATACTCTAGGACACCGTGGCATACCTAGCCAGTAGGCAGAGCTGTCAATGTGGAATTAAAGAGTTTGAGAGGGTGAGTGTGGGAGTTGTAATATTGGCATAAAGTTAGGTCACTTAGGGTGAGGAAGAGAATGGAATCCTGACGTAATAATTAGAGGATACACAAGGGAAGTGAAAACAGAATTTTGCCTTCAAATATAGCTTCAAGCAAATATTTATTAAAAGTTTTAGGAATAAGACAATTGAGTTTACTTACATGTATTATATTTATGTGCTGAATTATTAAAAAATGCTAATAACATCTGCCAGCTATTCCAATGGTATTAAAGGACTTACAAACGTTTGAAAATGCAATTTGATAAAATAAGATTTTTTTGAAAAAAATCTTAATATATATTTTTGGGCCTTGATTATGCATTAAGTACCTTATAAATGACATTCAACCACACCTAACAACGCAAACACATATACTCCTCTCCAACTACAATAAGTAAAGTGGGTAAAACTGCAAATGAATATGGAATTGTTAGTTAGAAGACACTGAGACTTGCCAAGCCTCACCCTGCCTCTGATTCCTCACCTCTAAAAAGAAAATAATATTTGTGGAAAATATTATTGACCCTGTTTACTTCACAGGTTTACCGTGAGGATGAAACAAGATAAATACATGCAAAAGTATTTCCTAAATTTTAATGTATGATACAAATATATTACTTTTTTAGAGAAAAAAATGTTAAAACGCAATTAAAATGCAAAACTATTAGCCTTACAGTCAAAATATTTACTTGCTATTTTACTCCTGTTTTGTATTTTTTCTGCTTGTTTATTTAGTCTTTGGGAAAGGTTTCAAATATCCTTTAATAAATATTTTTATTGCTTGGCAGGAGAAACAAAAAAGATATGGTAGAGTGAATCACATTCAGAATTAATTTGTTATACACATTATCATGTAGCTATTATTTAAAGAATTAAACTGCATATTATGTTTATTTATTTGAGACATTGTGTAACAATACTGCACTTTCACCTATTTTCCATTGTTGGCAGAAATATATGTAATGAACATTGTGTATTTTACTATTTTTCCTAATCACTAGAAATAGCTAATAAAATAAATGATTGTTTGTTTTGTCCTGTAGTACTTATAATATTCTAGTTGACTTCTAGCATATTTCAGAATATCCCTATGGCACTGAAGACAAGCAAAAGAGTATTAGTTCATGAAGCTGATTTACAAATGGGAAACTCATTTTATTGAGTTGGCATCACATGTGGCACCTGCTGTGCAATGACTCACACCTGTCGAAAAGAGCTTACCACAGACATTCTGGGTTCTGAGGGCATCCCTCAAGGCCCAAAGAGGAAAACTCCCCTGGAGAGATCTACCATTTATATTTTAGAGACACTTTTTTCTGACAGACACATGTATCTGCCCACATTAGTGGTTACTTTCAAGCACAAGAGAAGCCATTGAAAAATTTCTCCATATCACATTGAAACAGAAAATGCAGCCCACATGTTAATGCTGGGAATGCCTTTTAAATTTAAAACACACTACTCAGGCAGAAATTCCAGCTGTTAAAACAGAGATAATAGAAAGCCAGTGTAAGTCGTGACCAACATTCTCAATAGGGTTAAACACCAACATTACACATTGCTTGAACCATAAAGGCGATTGCTTTGGGGTCACTGAAAATGTCATCATGGCTCAAGTTTTCTGGTTGATTTGGTTGCTGAATTCTACTTTATGGAAGAGAATTTTATCACTGGCTTTTTAGTATTTTATTGGGTTGTGCACTACATGAAACACTGCGTTTAAGACCACAATGAACTCTCAAAATAACGTGAGAAGTTTCCTTCTGGAATATATAGCTAATATTGAAGTTAGCTTGATCTATGCAAAGCAAATAAATAAAGGTTTGAAAACTGCCTGCTTTCCCTCATAATATCAATACTATGTAGTCTATGGTAAATTTTCTTCCTTTTTTCTGCTTTAAAAAATTTCCACATCTCAGTTGCATAAAGTTGCAAAAATATTGTACTGAGACATGAGGAATTAAGATAAATTGGATCAATATATCTTCCTGTCATGTGTAGCTTCACAAGGGAAAGAAAGCCTCAGCTCTAAAACCATGGAACAAAAGATCAATGAAATTATTGAAAACTACCATCGAGTCAGTAATTTGATAAAAATGAAAAGCTCAGGTTTTGCTTCTATTCAGTATTGAAGAAAAAGAAAGAGAAAGGAAGGAAAGAAAGAAAGAAAAAAGAAAAAAAGAAGGAAAGGAAGGAAGGAAGAAAGAAAAGTCATATGGGAAAAGGGAATCCTTAGTTAGCAAATTATTGTACCTCCTTGTTGCATCTTCACGTTACCTTCAAATTACATGCTGTCACTAACAAGGTCTTTGGGGATAAAATAAACATTTTTATATTTCAATCTTTGATTTCTTTTTTAATAAGTGTCATGTCACACTATGTTATGTTAAACAGAAACTTTAATATATTAATCCTAGCAAGAGTCCATCATAAATCATAAAAGTATAGATTAATACAATAATGTATTTATTGGGTGTCTGAAGAAATTAAGAATGTGTCTAGAACAACTAGATTAGTTGTTCTACTAATCTAATCAGTTTTACTAAAGCCAATGGCAATCAAAATATGGAAAAAAATAGAAGCATGATTTTACTATCTAGGCAGTCCCAAGGAAGCATGTACAACGTAGCATAATAATTTTTACAAATGCTCTAGAGTAAACCTACCTATCTGCAACAACGTTTTTGTATGTTTTTAATAATTTCAGCTTTTGTTTTAGAGTCGGGAGTACATGTGCAGGTTTGTTACATGTGTATATGTACTGGGGTTTTGGGTCTTGATTAATCCCATCGCCAGGTACTGAGAATAGTCCCCAAAGGTTAGTTTTTCAACCCTTGCCTCCCTCACTCCCTCTAGTGATTCTCAATGTCTATTGTTCTATAAGTGAGAACATGTGACATTTGGTTTCCTGTTCTTACATTAATTTGCTTAGGATAATGGCCTCCAGCTGCATTAATGTTTCTGCTAAGGAATTATTTTATTTTTATGACTGTGTGGTATTCCATGGTGTATATGTATCACATTTTCTTTATCCAATCCACTGTTGATGGGCACCTATGTTGATTCCATGTCTTTGCTATGGTGAATAATGCTGCAATGAACATACAAATGCATGTGTCTTATTGGTAGAATGATTTATTTTCCTTTGGGCATATACCTAGTAACGGGATTGCTGGGTTGAATGATAATTCTGATTTAAGTTTTTTGAGAAATCTCTAAACTGATTTCTACAGTGGCTGAACTAATTTAAACAAATTCCCACTGGCAGTGTATGTGTTCCCTTTTCTCTGCAACCTCACCAGCACCTATTATTTATTGACTTTTTAATAATAGCCATTCTGACTGGTGTGAGATGGTATCTCATTGTGGTTTTGATTTGCATTTCTCTGATGATTAGTGATGTGGAGCTTTTTTTCATATGGTTGTTGGCTACTTGTATGTATGAAAGAATTTGTTCATGTCTTTCTCCCACTTTTTAATGGGGTTGTTTTTTGCTTTTGAATTAAGTTCCTTATAGATTCTGGATATTAAACCTTTGTTGGATGCATAGATTGTGAATATTTTCTCCCATTCTGCAGGTTGTCCATACTCTGTTGATAGTTGCTCTTGCTGTGCAGAAACTATTTTATTTAGGTCCGACTTGTTTAGGTCCCAGAAAGAGATATTCAGAATGATATCCAGGCAAAAGAAGTTCAGAATGACTGGCACACAGGCTATAAAAGCAGCATTTTAGAGATAAAAATGTGAATAATTACCTAAGTACATATAAAATCCCTTATATAAAATTATAGGGACTTAATAACTTATTCTGGAGGCTATGGGTAGTCAATGAATGATTTTTAACCAGAGGATGAGAAAAAATTCACAATTCAGAAAGGACTCTTTGCAGCAGAGTACAGAATTGATGGCTGGGACTCAGAGACTGTTCAGGAGGCTGGTGTTAAAATCAAGGTGATAAGTGGTAAAGAAGCAAAATAAGTAAGTGCCAGAAAGCAGGTAACAGTGTCAAATATTGAAGAAAGGAACACTAAAAATAGGAGAGAAAAGTATATTTGGGGTAATTTTATGAAGAAAATAGAACAATAGTTTGGGGCTTTGTTTATTGCTGTGTTTCTAGTTCCAGGCTTAGTTTGTGGCATACAGAAAACATTTTTTTTTTCAAGTATTGAATAGTATAATGTTAACATTCAAGAAAGTAAAACAGACACCTCTGCAATAGCTCATTAACAACTGGTAACCCATAGAGGTCAAAGTTCCAGAGCTTTAAAAAAGTACTGATACAGTTGAAGACCCCTCCACTATACCTGGATGGAGCACTGATCCGTATTACCAATGACAGTTACCCCCAAAATGCAAGCAGTCACATCCACCCTCCTTCAAGGGATAGATCCACTATACTTGTCATGTAGATCAGCTACATTGTCACTGGAGACTGGGATCCAGCTACCCTCCCACACATGGTAGAGGCTGACAGCACCTCCTGAGTAGGCATCTCTGTAGGTCAGGGCCCCATTCCTCCATCTTCAAAGCAAGCATTTCTGGATCTAGTTTTTCTCGCACTGCATCATCCCGGTTGGCTTTCTGCTTTTATCAAAACATCTTATCTCTTAAAGACCCATGTGATTATATTGGATCTACCTGGATAAGTCAGGGTAGTTTCCCCTCCTCAAGGTCTTTCACTTGATCACATGTGTAAAGTCCCTTTTGCCATGTAAGGTAACATATTCACAGGTTCCAGGATTATGACAATGACATCTTTGAGGCTCCGTTATTATGCCTGTTGTGGAAACAATTATTCAATTAAGGTAAAGAGATTTTGGAAGCTTCTTGCAAATTGAGTTTGTTGTTAGGGATTTAATTACCAAGAAAGAAGGATTTTAGAAGACATGATGGAAAGATGTGAGTAGGCCGGAGATGTAGTTTTAGTATTCATATTATCTCTAATTAAAATGACCTTTCCAAATGGAGCTCTCTGTGGTATGTAATGACATCATACTGTAGTAATTTAAATGTTAATCTAACAATCAAGTTTCAGGACAGGGTCGAAGAATACCTGTGCAAAGTGATTAGACAGAGGAATTATAGTGCTTTCATGTGTTCAAAGCACCTCTTCATTATTTTGTTACAAATATTATAGTCTTCAAAATACACATTACAATATTCTTCAAACTTGAGAAGTATCCCAAACTACAATCTAATCTGACGTTGTCTACCCTTTTTGTGTTATTTGACTCCTGGGGCATTATTAACCATCTATTGTTATGCACTGATAAAATGAATGTATCCTCCAAAGATGTGGACCTTTCTTCTCCTTTTTACATAAAGAGAATGGTACTTTTCTACTGCAGTGATGTTCCAATAGCTTACATTATTAAAAAAATTAATGGGCTAATAAATTATAATCTGCAAAAAACATACATTTTATTTTTTGTATTTTTAGTTTATTTTTCCACAGGTTATTGGAGTACAGGTGGTATTTGGTTACATGAGTAAGTTATTAGTGGTGATCTGTGAGATTTTGATGCACCCATCACCTGAGCAGTATACACTGTACCCTATTTTTAAAATCGAGGCTGGGTGCAGTGGCTCATGCCTGTAATCCCAGCACTTTGGGAGGCCAAGGCAGGGGGATCACGAGGTCAGGAGATCGGGACCATCCTGGCTAACATGGTGAAACTCTGTCTCTACTAAAAGTACAAAAAAAAAAAAAATTAGCCGGGCGTGGTGGTGGGCGTCTGTAGTCCCAGCTACTCGGGAGGCTGAGGCAGGAGAATGGCATGAACCCGGGAGGCAGAGCTTGCAGTGAGCCGAGATGGTGCCACTGCACTCCAGCCTGGGCGACAGAGCGAGACTCTGTCTCAAAAAAAAAAAAAAAAATTCTTCATAGTGATGCAGAAAGCAAACCAGAAGAGTTTAATTTAACCTGTTTATTATTTTAAAATGATTACTTGTTGACTTAGTTTTAGCCATTAATCAAATAAATGTGAGATAGGTATTTGAAGTCTTCTGGAGAAAAGTGAGAAAGGAGGGTTTAGTCAAGGTACATCTGAGTTTTGACCTTAGACATACATACATCTCTGAGAATGCATGCACATTCAATATTCAAGGCTCAAGTATGCTCATTGTCAAACTTGAGATTTTTATAAAAGAATATATCCTTTCACAGACTAAGGTAGATTTACGTATTGCACAGATTTGTGTCTCCTACATAACTAAAAATTTCAGGATGATTCTGGGTGCCATTTGATTGTTTTCAAAATGTTAGCATGGCAGGTTTCTTGGTGCATATTGTTTCTTGTCGACTCAATCAACTTCTTCTGAGAGTTGAACACACTGGTATGTAAGATACTTAATACCACAGTCACAGGCTAAAATTCACTAGTCAAATATAGCCTCAAGAACCTATATTATGATTTCTAGTCATGAAAACCTGTAACTTTTCTATGAAATTGTGACTGCATTTTATTCATCTATGCCTGAGGTTCTACAAACTCTGGGTTTCTCTTGATCTTAAAATTCTTTCAGTTTTCATTTTCTATTTGCTTCACGCATTTGACAGTTTAAACGAATGTATTAAAATTATTTGAATAAATACGCAATGTACTTGTATTGCTCTTGCAGTTTCAATTTTACTATATAAGGTGTCTAATTATACCCATTAGATAAAACAACCTCATCAGTCATTAGACATCAAAAACTGAATTAAGCTACAGAAAACGTTGATTTTTGAAAGCAGCCTAGTATCACTGTCAGCTTTCCATGACGCTGATGTTTGACTATAGTAAAACAAATATAATATGTATATCCCTGATCTACTATCTATATTGTATAAAGTGGCAATGACTAAAGGGGCAAACAAGTATTATATTCATATACTTGGTCATTTCCTCCTCCATGAAATGATGTGGGTCTGTTTTGCAAATTTTGGTGAAACTTCTTCAGTGAAAGTGTTAGCTGGGCAGATCTATAATTTTTTCTCATTTGGACAAACTTATTCTCATGTCATTGCAAACTGCCATCTGCAGGAAGTAAACACAAAACATCTCTCTACTGCCATTCATGCTTTCTTCAAATTGGTGTATAGTAGCTATAAAGGTAAAACTTTTTTGGCTTAGAATATAAGTTTAGCCACACCTTTGGGTCAGGAGGCCACATTTGTTCTATAGGCTATGTTTTATTATCATTATTTTTAATTTGTTTATTTTTGAGACAGTTTCACTCTTGTTGCCCAGTCTGGAGTGCAATGGCACGATCTCAGCTCACCATAACCTCCACCTCCCAGGTTCAAGCGATTCTCCTGTCTCAGCCTCCCAAGTAGCTGGGATTACAGGCATGCGCCACAATGCCTGGCTAATTTTGTATTTTTAGTAGAGACTGGATTTCTTCATTTTGGTCAGGCTGGTCTCGAACTCCCAACCTCAGGTGATGTGCCTTCCTCGGCCTCCCAAAGTGCTGGGATTACAGGCGTGAGCCACCGTGCCCGGCACTAGGCTATGTTTTAAATCCAAGGATAAGACTGGATGGTAGTAGTGGTTGGGTGAACTCAGCATTTACTGAAAAGTTTTCAAAACGGCAGGATCAGGATGTGATTTTAGGATATCACAGAGAAAGAGAAAAGGGTGCTAAATAAGAATAGCAAGACAAAGACAGAACAGATAATGTGGGTAAATCAGATGACTAGCAAAGTTAAGATCAAGTTTGAGAGAAGTGCCCTCAACTCTCAGAGGTTACTCTGGACTTTCAAGATTGTTTATAGGTTTGTGGTTCACAGATGAGCAGGGTTGTACATAGTTGCCAAATTGAGCAATATCATGATGTTCTATTTTAAATTAGTTTTTTATACAAGTTTTTCAATATTGATTTTTATTGTCACTTTTCTAAACTACTTTTTTTACCCACACCACTTGTAGTATACTTAATGGAGATTAATTATACAAAACAACCTTTAATGAGAATTTTGAAACCTGGAAACATTAAGGGATAAGTTCTATGGTTATATGCTTGAAATAGGAGCCAATAAAGTAGTTTTTCATGAAAATATTAATTTTCATTATCTGTGTGAAGCCTTATATTAAAATTGAAATATTGTACATAATATGGCATTTGTTGATAAATATTTACAGTACTTATGCATTATTCTATGTTATTAAACATTGAATGTTTATACAAATACTATGTGATGAAGAATAAAATTGAAAATAAATATTCCAAATTATTGAGAGTACATTTTGTTATTCTTTTCCAAACTATTAAAAAAATCAGTAATACTTTTTGAGTTAAGTTCCTTATACACTCTGGATATTAAACCTTTGTTGGATGATAGCTGGCAAATATTTTCTCACATTCTGTAAGTTGTCTGTTTACTCTGTTGATAGTTCCTGCTGTGCAGAAGCTCTTTAATTAGGTCCCACTTGTCAGTTTTTGTTTTTGTTGCAATTGCTTTTGAGGACTAAGTCAAAAACTCTTTGCTAAGGCTAATATCAAGAAGAGTATATCCTAGGTTTTCTTCTAGGATTCTTATAGTTAGAGGTCTTATATTTAAATCTTTAATCCATATTGAGTTAATTTTTGTATATGGCAAAAGTAGGAGCCCCATTTCATTCTTCTGCGTATGGCTAGCCAGCAATCCCAGTGCCAATTATTGAATAGGGAGTCCTTTCCTCATTGCTTATTTTTGTCAACTTTGTCAAAGATCAGATGGCTGTAGATATGCAGCTTTATTTCTGGATTTTCTATTTCATTCCATTGGTCTATGTGTCTGCTCTTGTACCAATACCAAGCTGTTATACTTACTGTAGTCTTGTACTATAGTTTGAAGTTACATAATGTGATGCCTCCAGTTTTTCTTTGTTTTTGTTGTTGTTGTTGTTTGCTTAGCATTACTTTGGCTATTCAGGCTCTTTTTTGGTTTCTTATGAATTTTAGAATAGTTTTCTTCTAATTCTGTGAAAAATGATGTTGATAGTTTGATAGGGATAGCAATGAATCTGTAGATTGCTTTGGGCAGTATGGCCATTTTAACCATATTGATACTTCCAGTCCATCTGAATGGAATGTGTTTCCATTTGTTTGTATCATCTATATGATTTTCTGCAGCAGTATCTCCTTATAGAGGCCTTTCACCTTGTAGAGATTTTTCACCTCCTTGCTTAGATGTATTTGTAGATATTCTGGTTTTATTGTGTGTGGGTATTTTAAATTAGATTGTGTTCTTAATTTGGCTCTCAGCTTGAATGCTATATGTGTATAGAAATTTTGCTGATTTTTAGACATTGATTTTGTATCTTGAAACTTTATTGAAATCATCTATCTGTTCTAGGAGACTTTCAGCAGTCTTTAGAATTTTCTAGGTATAGAATCAATCAGTGAAGAGAGATCGTTTGACTTCTTTTTCTATTTTGATGCCTGATTGCTGTTGCTAAGACTTCCAGTGCTATGTGGAATAGGAGTGGTGAGAGTAAGCATCCTTGTCTTTTTCTTGTTCTTAAGGGGAATGCTTCCAGCTTGTGTCCATTTAGTATGATGTTTGTGAGTTTGTCATATACGACTTATTATTTTGACAAATGTTCCTTCAATGCCTAGTTTGTTGAGAGTTTTAATCATGATAACCCCATTAAAGAGTGGACGAAGGATATAAACAGGTACTTCTAAAAAGAAGACATACAGGAAGCCAAAAAACATTAAAAAATGCTCCATATCACTAATCATCATAGAAATGAAAATCAAAACCACAATGAGGTATCATCTCACACCAGTCAGGAAGGCTATTATAATAAGTCAAAAATAACAGATGTCAGAGAGGCTGTGGAGAAAAGGGAAAGCTTATACACTCTTAGAAGGAGTATACATTAGTTCAGCCATTGTGGAAAGAAGTTTAGAGATTTCTCAAATAACTTAAAACAGAATTACCATTTGACCCTGCAATCCCAATTACTGGGTAAATTTCCAAAGGAAAATGAATCATTCTACCAAAAAGACAATGTGTGTTTGAAATATTTTGAGCTCCTCTACTAACTCACTCATATGTTCATTGCAGAATTATTCACAATAGCAAAGACATAAATTCAACCTAAGTGCTCATTAATGCTAGACTGGATAAAGAAAATGTGGTATTTATACACAGTGGAATACTACACAGCCATAAAAAAGAATGAAATCATGTCCATTTCAGCAAAATTGATGTAGGTAGAGGTCATTATCCTAAGTGAATTAAGGCAGGAATAGCAAACAAAATGCTGCATGTTCTCACTTATAAGTGAGAGCTAAATATTAGGTACATGCAGACATAAAGATGGCAATAATAGAGACTGGAGACCACTGGAGGGGGATGAGACGTAGGGGGGCAGGGGCTGACAAAATGCCTGTTGGACACTATGCTCACTACCTGGCTAATGGGATAATTTATACCCCAAACTTCAGCATCACACAATAAGGCCATATAACAAACCTGCATATGTACCCCTTATATCAAAAATAAAAATCTAATTTATAAAAAAATCAACAACAGCATTCTTGATATGCTTGATAAAAGCCCACTATCATTTTTAACATTGAACCTCCTTTTCATTAACCTTTTTCCAGCAAGTTTCAATTCCTTTCAAATATTTCATTGACACATCTCAGAATAAATAATACAGTCTCATAAAATGATTTAAAAAGTGCTATTTTCTTTCATCACCTGCATACTTTTTCAGAGGAGTGAGAGAACTCTTATGGGTCTGTAAAACACATGTGCTTATTTATAAAACCCAGTTTGTCTCTAAATAAATTGATGCTACTGGTGCTCTATTTAGAATACATGCTTTATAAATAATCGAAGTTTCATATGTTTTACCTAAGGAATTAAATGATTATTAGAGGAGGCATATTCATAATGATTTTTCTGGTTTTCTTTCAAGGATCCTCTGTTTCACCTGGAATCACCCAGATCTGAGAGAGGAAGGGGCAGATGTCCTTTTGACCCCAGCTCCTCCTTCATCTCCACTTTAATTGGTAATTGTCATTGCCACAGACATCAGGTGGTAGTCATAAGGATTTTAAAACATATATTTCAACTTCAGTTACATTCTTTCAGCATTTCTTTACATACTATGCCTTGTCATATCTATTTTCTGATGCTCGAAGCAATGATATTAAATTTCAAGCCATGTTAACCTGAGCAATTTGACTCTAAAATAAGTGCAGATGCTATAAAGTGTGTGTGTCTCACTCTGAGAAAACAAATTGTCGTTTAATATCTCATGTATTTGGTGTCATGTGATGCTTATAAAATGCAATTATATGAAGACTTTATAAAAATTTTGCCAGAGAAATGAAACTATTTTAATATATGTGTTAATTCTTCATGTTTCAATTATTTTGTGACTTTAGAGAACTTTTAATATTCTTTATGGTATCTTTCTCTGTTATTAGTAGAATTCAGCAGAAACTCATCTCTTTTGAGAACTTAAATTTATTTATCTAAATTTCTGTTAATCTAGAATGTAAACTATAGAAGTTGATCCGCTCAACCTATCACTAAATGTACATACGGAAATAATGACATGAGTTGATAAAGTTGGATCTGGAGTTCAATTCGATTTAATTTAATTAGACAAAGTACCAAACAATCTCACTTAAGACACAACTAAGTAATATTTTCCTGCAATTTGGGGTTAAAAATTGCAAACTTGGCAAACTATTTCAGCACTGTGACAGTAAAGACTGATGAATGAGCTCCTAAGCCTTCAATTAAAAAGAGCAATCCCCAACACTGACATAGGTACTAATGGAAGTGATTTTCTTCCCTCAGCGTTGAGAGATTCTGATGCATGTATGGTGCAGATGTGCAAGGTTGCATTATTACATTTATAATGTTTAGAGTTATATGCTAATATTAGGTCATCTTCTTTGCAGAAAATGAGTACAGAATAAAATGTAGAGACTTCACATTCTAAATAAACGATTAAAACTTAAAACTCTCTCCTGATGATTAAACCATATTATACTTGATTTAGAGTTGATACAGATGCTACTGCATATTCTTGAGAATCTGTGTTCCCTAAACATATTCAAGTCAGTTTATTTTGATGGGTCTTGCATTCTATTCCCTACATCTGGTTCTCAGGTGTAAAAAAGTAAAGCTTTTTAAAACCTATGTATTTATAGAGCAAACACCTCATGTTAACTCTAATTAATGGGAAAAGTTTGATTTACTTCAGCTTCATAATTGGACAAGGCTATAAAATGAGAATTATATAGTAATTAAGTTCTTCAGGGGCTTGAATAAAGAGGTACAATATTTGAGAAAAATAAATATTAAAGAGAAAATATTAATTTGAAATATTTTGAGTTTCTCTACCAATTCTCTCTCTCTCTCTCTCTCCCTGTGTGTGTGTGTGTGTGTGTGTGTGTGTGTATAAACAGAGTATTAAAAAAAGGAAGACTTTAAATATGAGAAAAGGGTTGCCTAAGTCAGGTTAGACTTGGTAAAATCAAAACCTTAGGAATAACACTTTTGGGGGATGCCAGGTCCATAAATGCAAGAAATTCCAATGCAACTGACAGAATATACATTAAAATTTATGTATCTCATAGTCTCACACCATCTTTTTCTGAAGTTGTTAGTGAATTTTTCTTCATAAAGATTTTAATATGTTTGAAAAAAAGAGACTTTCTTATCTTTCTTGTGCCATATAGTATCTTGCAAAGACTAAGTCTCCTATAAATACTAAATGTAATTCTTACTGAGGTTCCTAAACAAATGCAAAATTAATTTTGGAATATTATTCATAAGAATCATAAAAAGGGAATTGGAAATTAAAAATTACACAGTATATGCTGCTTCTATAGTGAAATCCTGAGAATATTAGAAGGCAAATTATTTTTTAACATTTCATTTAAAGAGTTAATAATAATTTCTATGACCACCTTGCCACTCACTACTCAGCCTCCCTAGGAGTTTGTTTCTGCATGAAGCCAAGAATTTAAAAGTTAAATTTCTAAGAGGGGAAATATTACTGGAGGGACATTTCTAAGTGAGTTTCATTGAACCTCCAAATCAAATTACACTATGCTGAAATCTGAAGTGCTTGCCATCTGGGTGGCTGTTTCGCTTATTTCGAAGAGAAATCAAATCAAAGGAGCCCTCCAAGCTAAACACAAAAGTTATAGAATAATCCCTCCAAAGAGAAGAAATAAAAATATAATTCTTCACATTTATCCACTCACTTTCATCCCAAAGTACCTTGGAGAGATCATTCACTCACTGTGGAAATGCAGCAGCCACTGGATGGAAACCTGATAACCTATGTGAGCCAGAAACTCTTTAAAAGAGAGGAAGTGAAAATAATTCACCCAATTGAAAAAGCAGCAGGAATGTGGGCTGGAAAAATGAAGCTACCTGAGTTGGAATTTGGCAAGCTCGGTAGAACTTACTCTGACTGTGAAAGAATGTATTAATGGGTATTTTGTGACCACACATGTTCTCTGCTGATGGGTTAAGACAAGCCTCCAGCAAAAAGATGACTATCG